>NC_000016.10:63956439-64259469 GCF_000001405.40 Homo sapiens | reverse complement strand
ATATGCATCCCATGCCCTGTTTGGGATGGTTAGATTATCTCACCCTGGTGGGAAATTATAGCAACATATCTGTGTTCTAATTATTCCTTCGATTTTCTCAATGCACTAAAACTGAAGAATATAGTCTTGAGTGGTGGCCAACAGTAAGTCAATGACAGGAAGAGAAGCATAGTATTTCAATACAAAGTTATGCTGATGTTATTTCTGCTGTGTGGAGTGCCTCAACCCCTTGGAGCATGTGATATCATCTTAGAAGACTCCGTTCAAGTGTCACCACCTTCGAAGAGTGTTCCTTAATCCCTCAAAGGAGTATAGAAATGTTTCTACCTTGTTCCTGTAACTGAAAATAATATTGAATAATGGTTAAGTACATATTGAGCACTTTATTATGTGCCAGGCATTGTGCTACTTTGTAAGATACCATGCTTCATTAATCCTTATAAGAATTCCATGCTAAAGACATTATTGCTCTCCATATTTTACTGATGAGAAGATGAAGGCTTAAAGATGTCATGCAGTTTTCCCAAGGTTGCAAACTAGTCTGGGGCTTGCCTGAGAGAAGGTGGATGTGCTTTCCCAGTTGATGCACATATTAGGCTATTCCAGAATATTAATGAAGTCAATTAATCTTTTTATTATAACCTCCTCAATTCTCCGGATGTGTTTGTCAAATACGGAATATTAATAAAGAATTAAAATGCAATATTCTGAATAATTAAACCCACAAAGGCCTGATTTATCTTTAATGCTTTTAATGATATTTTTTAAAAGGGAAACTTTTGATAACGTATGTTTGGGGCAGCATGTGAAGAGATGAACAAGCTGTGCCTTCATATTGTTTATTCTTAGAGGCTGCTGGTGGTAAAGCAAAATGCCAAGGACAATTGATACTGTTAGTAGGATTGCTGAGCGTGTGTGTTTGGTGGTATATTACATTTTTCTTCCTCTGCTAAGTTTTATTTTTGTTCCCTGTTTTCAAAAGTCATGTTCTCAATTGTGCCTTTTTTTGAAAGAAACATTTTAATTTTGAGTTTGTTTTTAATTTTAGCTTTGTATCTATGAAGAATTTACTAGGTTTATACTTTCAAAAATCTTCATTACCAGGTTCAAAGGAATTGCAGTTGTGACAACCAGCATGCATAGCATGAAACTTGCATAAAGAATTATCATAGCAAAAAATAAAATAAAATAAAACAAATATGAAACTAAATGAGCTATCAAACCACAGAAAGATGTTCCACATCTTTTCGTGTTAAGGGTATGTTACTAAGTAAAATAAGACAGCCTAAAAGCTAGGCTACCTGCAGTGTAATTCTATGTATGTAATATTCTGGAAAAGGCAAAACAATGGAGATAGTAAAATGACCATTGGATTTGGGGGAGGGAGGAATAACTATACGGAGTATGGGGAATTTTTAGGCCAGTGAAACTATTCCACAGGATGCTATGGGGTGGATACATATCATTATACATTTGTCAGACTCAAGATGTAAGATGACAGAAAGAGTAAACCATAACACAAACATAACACAATGAGTGAACTATAGTGTATGCTCTGGCCTTTGGTTAATAATGATGTGTCAATTGGTAACGAATGTATCACTCTGGTAGGGAATGTTGATAGTGGAGGAGACTGAGAGAGAGAGAGTAGAGGGGAGAATGTGGGAACTCTATTGCACTTTTCAGTCTGATGTGAATCTAAAACTACTAAAAAATAATGAGTCTATTAAATAAAGTATATTAAAAATGGAGGGAAGGGAATAAAACACAGTAGTTCTTCTTTTTATATTTATTCTATGTCATATGATCCCACTTTGTAACATACTAAAGGAATGTGGTGATAAGAAGTCCAAAGAAACATGTCCAGAAGCAGGAAAACTTGCTGAAAATAGGAAAAATACAAGTCATATTGCTTTTCTTCCTTGTAATACTCACTTCCCCATCTTCCACTACTACTTTCTTGTGCTACAGATCTCAACTGAAATGTTACCAACTTGGAAAGAGGCTGTGTCTGCCCACCCCACCTTGGTGCTAGCATATTAACGTGCTCCAGTTCTCCAACTCACACTTATCACTATCTGTTGTTTTTATATTTATAAATGCCATTTTTTTAATCTGTCTAGATCTTCCTGCCTCACAGTTAAATTCCTTTGAGGCATATTAGACCTGAGTATCTTCATCTTCTTTTCCATCTCACTGTTTTCACTTGGGAGTATTCCAGTCACAAAACACATTTTTGTAATCTTAAACATAAGAAGGACCCTCAAAACAGAAATGAGGCCATTGGACTGAATTTCAAATACAGTCCTATGTAGCAATGATGTTTGCTCAAGCAGCATTGGTTAAGCCAAAATGAGATTTATTCCACTACTAAAAAACACTTATTGTTATATACTATCTGACAAACTTTTGTGTTAGGCACAGGAAATGCAAAAATAAATAAGGCAGGACTACTGAGTCCTCCAAATTCACAATGAAAGATTGGAGAAGGAGGTGTGATTTTATTTGTATAGTAATACATAGTATCAGTTATAATCCAGGCTCATGTTAATGTTGCAAAATGTAAAATTCTGCCACAGACTTCACCACACAGGTAAATTAGTAACAGGCGTTCAAAATTTTGTAGATGCTCAGAAAGCAAAAGAGGGAGGAGTTTTATGAGCAAATGTTACAACACGATCAAAGGCTGAGGGGCGTGACAGCACATGGCTTTTATGGGAAAGACCAGCACTTCAGGGTACCTAAAATGAGAGATGATAACTAAAATGAATACACATCTCTGTTTGCTAAGGGAAGTCCCAGTCAATACCTGTTGTCTTAGATAATTATTAATGAAAGTGTTCTTTTCCATTATAAAAAGTATGTGATCACCTTAATGACAAGGCCAGGAAAGTAGACAAGGTCTGGAGTGTGAGGAGCATGCTATATTATGGTCAAAAGTTTGTGCTTTCTTCCATGAGGACCCAGGTTACTACAATGGGAAATATGATGGCTGGGTAGGATTGTCATTTTTTCATCTATTTTTGTGGGATTTTAAAAGAAAAGTTACTCTAATAACAACACAAATAGTAAAATATACAGGAACTGAGGATCCTCAAGTGATCAGATCAGCACTCTACTGAAAAAAGTAACTAAGCAATAAGACAACATAGACTAAAGCTAAAGCAGAAGTAGTAGAGACAGGGAAGAAAGAATGCATTTAGGGTTATTTCTATGAAAGAATCACTGGGTGTGGGCAAAGGGTGATGACTCCAAGTCTACAGTGTAACTTCTTTATAACCTGAAAGTACAAAAATTCAGAAAGAAACAAGGTGCTCGGCAATGGGAGATGACTACATGAGGGTTAGCAATGCTGAGGTTGAGGGTTTTGCAGAGGATGAAGTGAACACAAATACACAGGAAAAAATTGGGTAGACAGTAACAATCACTGCAGCCAAATAAAGGCTGGCTAAGACAGAGTCTTGTGGGATTTCCAGTGCCATTAAAGATTATAGTGGCTGGGTAGAATAGGCATCTTTTGACATCTAGTAATTTAATATCAGTCAGGACTTGGAGGTTTGTTGAGATCACATTTGATGAGCCCCTCAGTGGAGCAGGCACTCTGTTATTATTTTGCACCCTCGTAAAAGCACATGTATCTCATAGCAACCCAGACATAGGTTGTTGTTCTCTCCTTTATCCAACAAATGTTTACTTAATGTATCACGTGTTTCAGTTACTGTAATCATCATTGAGTAATTGTTTTTTACTTTCAAATGTGAAGACGTATTTTCAGAAAGAAAGAGATTTATCAGACTTACAACTGGTGGAGGAGGGATTAACCTGGCTCTAGTTAATTCACAAATCCATGCACCTCTTTTTTTCTGAATCACTTGCTTTCAAGGTACTACTCTGAGGACTAAATCTGATTATGAACTGGTTAATTATATTCGAGTGGAGGTGGGTTGTTTATGATGGGGCTTACTATCTTGCTGTAGTATTCCATGTAGAGAAGAATCACAGTGTCAGGCTTTTAAGGTACATCTAATTAGGCACAAAAAAATCACAAGATATTCAGATATTATGTGGACAGACATAGGAAAAGACCCATTCATAGACATTTATTGTCATCTGAGGCCTAACAAAGTGGTAAAGGTGGTTCCTGGTAGGTGGATAAAATAATCCGAACATATTGGGATAGGGCAGGTGTGACCAGAAATGCAGGCTGGTTCTTGACATGAGCGACATTTTCAGCAAGGAGACTGATTCAGCCTGTGTCCGTCATGATGTAAGGATGTTCTTGTTAACATGAGGTTTGTGTGTGCTGGTGAGTGATGGACCATTTTGGAAGAAGTTCAAGGTTCATCCCTCCCCTCCCCTCCCCTCTCCACCCCTCCCCTCCCCTCTCCACCCCTCCCCTCCCCTTCCCTTTCCTTCCTTTCCCTTCCCTTCCCTTCCCTTCCTTTTTTTCTTCTTTCCTTCCTGTTTGCCTTTCTTTCTTTCTTTTTTCCATCTTCTCTTCACAGATACAAATTTACCACTTACTATATGTATACTGGGAACATAATAAGGAACAAAGGGACATTATTACTGCAGATTTTATATTTTTCTGAAGACAATATTTTCTGAAGAAAGCAAGAAATAATAATACAATTAGTGATAAATGATATAAAAAATAAAAACCTGGGATTCAAACTTAATCAATTCTACCTAAGAAGTTCAAAACAAAGTCTTCTTAGGATTGGTGTTTTAACCAAGTCTTAAAGGATGAGGATGAGTAACTCCATACATATGCAAGACTTCTAAATATTAATAAGAGAAACCTACAACTACCTTGTTGCTCAAACCTGAAACTGTGATTCCTCTATTGCTCACTCTCTTTGTAACATCTATCACCTTGTCAATGTCAGTCCAGGGCCTAACCAGGAAAATAAAATCCACTGTGAGTACAGTTGGCCCTCTAAATCCGCAGGTTCCACACTGACAGGTTCCACATTCTCCAGGAATTCAACAAACTACACATCAGGAATATTTTTTAAAATAATAATACTGTAACAATAAAAAATAGTACAAATAAAATACAGTGTAACAACTATTCACATAACATTTACATTGTTAGGTATTATAAGTAATCTAGAAATGATTTAAAGTATACAGGAAGATGTGTGCAGGTTGTATGCTTACACTATGCTGTTTTATATGTAGCAAAGTATAAAATAGCATAGCATTTTATACTGTGGATTTAGGTATCCATGATGTCTCAGACTCAATCCCCTGCTGATTTCCAGGGATTATTGGACTTAGAACAAGGCAATTTAGCCAGGAATTTGTAATACTGGTGGTAGATAAACTGAAAGCCAAGAAAACAATATACAGCCACCTAGGAACACAGGAAATTTCTACCACACTTTGGCTGGTAAAACAGGTGGGATTTCCATGGCTTTTCCCAGAAGCCATGTAGGGTACATAGATGCATCTGAGGATGGAGGTAGGAAGCAGAGAGAGGTCAGGTGAAACACTCCTGTACTCCTTATTTCTTTTTATCCAAATCTCTTAATTGTAACTCCATTGATTGAGAATCTCGATGACCAAAAAGCCTTAAAAATTAAGCCTACTGGAGATAGTCACAGCTCCATTCTTGCAATAAAAAGCAGAGCAGGGGAAGATTTCAGGATGAAGCTGAGGACAAAAAGTATTGGTGTCTCACATAGTTTTAACTCAAAATGATACCGAGACTAATTCACTTCACTCTATTTCTGTACCCCGGTCTGAGTCATCATTGGCCCACAACAATCTTTTAGCTGCCCTGTTTGGTTTAGTCTGATGCCCTGACAATGGAATACACAGAGCTTTTAGAGGGAATGAATGAATGAAGCAATCAATCAATTAATGACATCAATGAAATGTTAGTGGATATGGTGGGCAGGTGGGGGGAGTGAATTTTAATATCAATATGCTGTATGATAATCCTGATTTACCAATTTGCAGCAAAATCACAAACTTCTCTCAACCTCTATTCATTATTGGTAAAATATCCACAACCACTCTCCATCAGGAATGATAAAAGATAACACAATCTCTTGGAGGCAAAATTGCTTACACCAAAAACAGTGTGATACCATGGAAAAGTCAAAATCATTTGTCTCATGGTTATCTATGTTTGACTCTTCACTCTGCTATTTACTATTCATGCTATTGCTTAATCATTCTGAGCCTTAGCTTTCTCATGTTTACCATCTGTATTTCTCTACTTTTTTTCAGGATTTTTTTTTAAATTTTAAGGTGATATATAATACATATACATATCTGGAGGGTACATGTGATATTTTGATACATTCATATGAATTGTAAATATCAAAGCAGAGTGACTGGAAATATCCATCACCTTAAATATTTATATTTTCTTTATGCTAGGAATATTTGAATTATTCTCTTCCAGCTATTTTGAAAGGTGCAGTAGATTATTGTTAACTGTAGTCACCCTACTGATCTATCAGACACTCGGTCTTATTTCCTCTATCTATCTGTGTATTGGTGCTCATTAATCAACCTCTCTTTATCCCATACCCCAACCCTTCCTAACTTCTGGTAACCAACAATCTGCTCTCTGTCTTCAACAGATGCTGAAAAAGCATTTAATAAAATTAATCATCCATTCATGATAAAAAATAATTCCTCCACAAACTGGGATAGAAGGAACATACTTCAAAAAAAAGAGGCCATATATGACAACCCCACAACTAACACCATGCTGAACAAGAAAATAAAATGAAAGCCTTTCCTCTAAGATCTGGAACAAGACAAGGATGCCTAGTTTTACTTTTGTTTGACATAATACTGGAAGTCTTAGTCAGAGCAATTAGGCAAGAGAATAAAAAATAAGGAGCATCCAAACTGAAAAGAAAGAAGTTACATTATCCCTGTTTTCAGATGATATGATCTTATATTTAGAAAAACTTAAAGACTTTACCAAAAACTATTAGAACTGATTAAAAAAATCAGTAAAGTTGCAGGATACAAGATCAATACACAAAAAACAGTTGCATTTGGACATGCCAACAGTGAACAATCTGAAGAAGAAATCAAAAAAGCAACCCCATTTATAATAGAGTCAAAAAGATGAAATATCTAGGAATTAGTTTAACCAGAAAGGTGAAAGATCTGTACAAGAAAAGCTATAAAACAGCGATGCAATAATTTGAAGAGAGCACAGAACCATGAAAAGATTCCATGATCATGATTGGTAGAATTAATATTGTTAAAATGACAATTCTTCCCAAAGCAATTTACAGATTTGATGAAATTCCTATCAAATTACCAATGACATTCTTCACAGAATTAGAAAAAAATAATCCTACAATTCATATGGAAACACAAAAGACCCCAAATAGTCAAAATAATTCTGAGCAAAAATAACAAAGCTAGGGGGTGTCACACTCCCTGACTTCAAAATACACTTTGCAAGCTCCATTTTCACCCTCTTGGAATACTTCCCTGGGCCTGCCATTTGAGGAAACTGATCTAGTCTGCTGGAGAATGAGAGGTCATGTGGAGGAGAATGGAGGTGCCTCAGCAGACAGTCAGCTCAAACTACCAGACGTGCAAATGAGAGGATCTGGCAGCTTCTAGGACAGCCAATCCTGCTGATAAATGCAATGCAAGAAGGAATCCAGGTAAAAATAGTGGAGAATCTCTTAACCACTTCACATACTTATGATAAATAATTGCTGTTCGTAGCCACTAAGTTGTGGAGTGGCTTGTTAGATAACAATAGTTAACTGAAACAGTCTCCATATGTTATCAAATGAAATCACTTATTATTGAGAAAGTACTAATAGCATCATTATTAATTGTTAAATAGTTATTAATGTTATTATTGACATGATAGCATTATCATATTATAAATTTTAAAAAATAAAGGCATATTTTAAGAGCTATTTCAACTGGCTATGTGTTAAATTGTGATTTCAACATTATACTTCGAGGAGCAGGGTCCAATTGCAATTTTTATTTCTTAGTCTTCCTGCTCCTCCACTGCTCAGCGTGTTATCTCATTCATAGTAGTTACCCATACATATTATTTAATTTGAAGGAATATTAAAAAGTGTACTTTATAGAAATTAAAATCCATTTTGTTTCCAACATTGGAAAACAGACTTTTTATGTAAAACCTACTGAAGGAGAATTTAGATGGCATAAGCCACTTTGCTGATGTTTGGAAGAACGACGGGACAGGCAATTGAATGCTAGATTCAAGGTCAAAGCTTTGCCCCACTTGTCCTGAGACCATTTCTTGTTCTTCTTTGGAAGAAGTCTCTTGAAAGTCATCTGCATAGCCAAACTTAGAGAGCACTCTTATCTAAAAGGAACTGCTTGTCTTCATCTATGACTCAGATTATTTCTTTGCATATTAAATTACAAGAGACAGTTCCAGCTGGATCCATCAATGTATTTATAACTCAGCCACACAATCTTCCTCCAGGCAGAAAACTTGGCACATGGGCTTTCAGCCTGGCTGCAGCATTCAAAGATGAGAACAAAAAATAATCACAGCAATTTTTATATCAAATTTTATTTAAATTCTGAATATAATAGGATAATTTCAATCTCCTGGCACACAGTAAGTCACCATTTTCACCAAAGGAGGGAGTGAGAGGGGCAGTTGAGGAACTCACCAAGAGTCACAATATAATTTCTCCACCTACCTTAGATTCTATTCTCAATGAACAATCTTTGGTAACAACGGTGAGAATGTCCTGTGAATTCTGGAAAAGAAAGGAGTGATGACATTCATTAATGGTCTGGCATAATGTCTAGCACAAAATCTAGACCACTGTACTGGGTGCTATGTATACACTGTCTCATTAATCAGTGAAATAGATTAGATTTTCTTCCTATAAGAAAGTAGCTCTTGAAGACAGCAAGACTTTTTTTTAATTGGAAAAAAAAGAAAAAATTTGCCTTTGACAAATTAGTTAGCACGTTTAGTGCACAGATTCATTTTCTACAATTTGTTTAGAGCTTTGTTTCCTGTAGAAATTATATAAGTAATTATATACACATGTCACTTAAAGTGCTCTTATATAAAAGAAATTGCTTGTGCATGTATATTAGTCATAAACATCTGTATTTTTAT
Source organism: Homo sapiens (assembly GCF_000001405.40). Classification (NCBI taxonomy): domain Eukaryota; kingdom Metazoa; phylum Chordata; class Mammalia; order Primates; family Hominidae; genus Homo; species Homo sapiens. Next base: position 64,250,354 of record NC_000016.10, on the reverse strand, counting down.
TTAGCATGTAACAGAAAACCAAACTGAAAGTGGTCTAAACAGAAAAGTGATTTGTTTAGTCATGTAACTAAATATTCAGGAATAGATCTCTATCTTCAGTTGTACCTTGAACGTGATCATGGAATTCAGAATCTCTCTCTATTTCTCTGGCCATCTCTGATATTGAAATCCTTCTCCCCTCGTAGTTCCAAGATTAAGTCATTCTATACCTAGAAATTCTAGCAGAAAAGAATCTTTTATTTCCCAATAAATTAAATTAAAATGCTTAATTATCATTGGCCTATTATAAGGCATTGAGCCGTGACAAAACTAATTGCTGTAGCCAAATGAGGGATTAGACTGAGAAGCCCAACCTGGATCCTATGAATTCTAGTAAGATCTATGTATTAGTTAATATAATTATATCAATGTTAACCTTGTTTTTGATAATTATACTCTGACTAGGTGAGATATTTATATTTAAGAAGCTGGATGAAAGTTATGTAGGAAGTCTAAGTGCAATTTAAAAACTCTTCCATAAGTCTAAAATCATTTAAAATTTTTTTTTGAAATTATACTTGAACTTAGTGGGTTATATGAAAATAAGCACTGTAATGTGAATATATTTGTGAGAGGCTTTGCTTGGCAAGTTTTTTCCATCGTTTGAATTTCAGTCTGTGGTCTCTATACCTGATAACCCCAGTTTTCTCTTATTTTTCTTTTTGGAGTCACAGACCATGTCTTTAATATGGATATTGTTGATCACAAAAACATGTACTATGATGTATATATTTGTATATTTATCTTCCCAGTTAGATTATGAGCATCTTGAGGGCCCAGCCTGTACCTTGTTCATCTTTAAAATCTCAGAACCATGCGGAGGGCCAGGCACAGAATGGAAGCTCATTAAACGTTAGTATAATAAAGCACTAACATGCTTACTTGTTAACTCACATCAGCATCTGGAATCACAGACTATTATTTTAACTGGCTAATGGCTTGACTTTCGAATAAATATTTAAAAGGAATTTTAATTTAAAATGTGCATTTAATTCTTCTCTTTTATAGACACCAGTGTCCAATACCATGCTACAGCTGGGGAAAACATATTCTGTGTCTGTTTCTGAGAATAATAAAATAGAAAAAAATGTGAATAGCATTTCTATCTTTACTGCTTTGTGTGTATGTGAGGGTATGAGTGGCGGACAGCATTGAGAGTTTATGCATTTATTCTATGATAATTTATTAAATATCTCAATGCTGTGCTAAGATATGGTCCACACCGCCCCATCTTAAGAGATTAGTGAACTCATCTGAAGAACCAAGCATTTCAGTGAGGGGGAAAAATCACTTTAAAGTGTATCATATTGAAACTGAACTCAGCCTTCCTCCACCCCGCCCCCTGCCCTTGTCCCCTGTTTTTGGAATGAGCCAATTTCCATCAGCTGTGGTGTTGTCACATGATATGTATCCATCAGCAAACATGCACCAAGCTCCTGCTGAGGACAAGTGTCATGAGATTAAAAAAAAAAAAAGATCTTGAAAAATTCTCACCTACCTGAATATGTCTTACTGCTGATATTTTGTGTACCTGATATTTGGCATTTTTTAACTAATTAAAATTATTAAGGTGGTTTAGATGTAAGTGTAAGCCTGTTTTAGGCAACGCAAATGTAACTTTTAGCTACGAATATATACTCAATTCTATCTCAGGGAAATGTAATCACATATCCTATAAGGGTAAATATAATAAAAGCCAGAGGTCATGTACGTGTTGAAATTCAGGAAGAAGGAAGGAGTTATTCATATCTCTGGGGCTGACCAAATGCTACAGGCTGGAGATCCAGCCCTCTGTGGGTCAGCATAAAGTCAAAAAGACTTCCTGAATACACATAAAAGCATTATTGGGATCAGTTTCCATGGAGTTATAAATAATACAGTAACTGTTCAATGACTGTTATTGTTGAAACTACTGAAAATGGAAGTTATCCCAATCCCTACCTGTTATGGACTGAGCCCTCCACCCCAAGTTCCTATTTTGAAGCCCTGAACCCCATCGTGATGGTATTTGGAGATAGGGTCTTTGGGAGATAATTAATTTTAGATGAGATCATGAAGGTGGGGTCCTCATAATGAGACTAATGCCCTTATAAGAAGAAACACCAGAGTGCTTGCATGTTTCTCTCTCTCTCTCTCTCTCTGTCTCTCTGTGCATGTCTTGTGAGGACATAGAAAGACGGTGGTCATTTACAAATCGGCAAGAGAGCCATTTCAGAAACCAACAATGCTAGCACCTTGATCTAGAATTTGTAAGTTTCAGAACTGTGAGAAAATAAATTTCTGTTGTGTAAACCATGCAGTGTATGGCATTTTGTTATGGTAGTTCAAGCTGCTAAGAAACTACATTTCCATTTCTCTATATTTAACGACAATAGGGCTGTGAACACGTGGATTCAAGTCCATTGGTAAATATTTTTGCTGTGGGTGGCTCTTCCTTCTGAAGGGCTAAGATTAAACTTGATGGGGGGGACTTCAATAAGATGTTGGGGGATGCAGAAATAATCAGGATTACTTTAGAGAAGCTTTTGCCAATACAGATGACATTTTAGGCTTTAGAAAACCCGTAATCCAAGGATATTGTCAGCTGTGGGAAATATCCTGCTTTATAACAGAGACCTGGTGAAAGAAATGGGATACTACACCTTGTTTTCTGGTTTGATCATTAAAGTTCAAGTATAAATTGTTTCTATATAATGTTATTGGTGTCAAAAGTACTTAATTCAAATGGCCTGTTTGGTTTACTTAAAATGATTGAAATAAATAGTTCTTACATGTGGGGCATTTATTCCCTTTTGTGGTATTTCTAAAGACTTTTCTAAATCCACTGTTAGATACTTGAGGAAGCACTGAGCCTTGACCAAGCCTGACCAAGACCTAAAACATATGATTACTGGGAAAACTCATAATCCCCAAAGATTCTGGATTTCAGTATAGGAGGTTTGGTAACTGTGTTGGGACTAAATGTTTTTAAAATTTATTTCTTTTGTAATATTTTATAGATACAAGTATTTTAATATATTTATGTGACTCGTGATATTTTGTTACATGCATAAACTATGTAATGATCATGTCAAGGCATTTGGGGTATTCACAAACTCAGGCATTTATCATTTCAATGTGCCGAGAACATTTCAAATCCTTTTTTCTACCTATTTTGAAATATACATTATTGTTAATATAGTCAACGACTCTATGGAACATTAGAACTTGTTCCTTCTATCTAACCATATGTTTGTACCCATTAACCAGGCCTTTCTTTATCCCTGCCTCCCCCTAACACACACCCTCCCCAGCCTCTGGCATTCATCATTCTACTCACTACCTCTATGAGACCAACTTTTTTAGCTCACACATAAAAGTGAGAACATGTAATATGGTCTTTCTGTGCCAGGCTTATTTTACTTAACATACTGACTTCGAGTTTCATCCAACATATTGCTACAAATGAATTGATTTCATTCTTTTTATAATTGAATAGTATCCCATTGTGACCATTTATCACCTTGTTATTATACATTTGTCTGTTGATGGACACAAGTTAATCTCCTATCTTTGCTCTTCTAAATAGTGCTGCAATACACATGACAGTGCAGATTTCCCTTTGATGTAATTTATTTTCCTTTGGATAAATACCCAGTAGTGAGATTATAGATCTATATTTAGTTTTATGAGAAATCTCCATACTGTTTTCCATAGTGGCCATATTAATTTACATTCCCACAGTGTATCAGCATTCCCTTTTCTCCACATATTCACCAGCATCTGTTATTTTTTGTCTTTTTAATAATAGTCATTCTACCTGGGGTAAAATAATATATCTCACTGTGGCTTTGATTTGCATTTAACTGAGAATTAGTGATGTTGAGAGCGTTATTTCACAGATTTATTGGTCATTGGTATATCTGCTTTTGAGCAATGTCTAAATATGTCCTTTGCCCACTTTTTAAAAATAATTTGAACTTTTATGTTAAATTCAGGGGGACATATGCAGGTTTATTACATGGGTATATTGTATCATGCTGAGGCTTGAGGTACAAATGATCCCTTCACCCAGATACTGAGCATAGAACCCAATAGTTATTCAATGCTTGCCCTCCTTCCTCCCTCCACACTTTCAGAGTCTGTGGTGTGAATTGTTGTTATCTTTATGTCCATAGGTACTCAATGTTTAGCTCCCACTTATAAGTGAGACAAGCAGTATTTAGTTTTCTGTTTCGTTTGTTAATTTACTTAAAGTAATGGCCTCTAGCTCTATCCATGTTGCTGCAAAGAAAATGATTTCATGTTTTTATGACTCCATAGTACTTCATGGGGTAGAGGTACCACAATTTCTATATACAATCCACTGTTGATGGGCACCTAGGTTGATTCCATGTCTTTGCTATTGTAAATAGTGTTGCGATGAACATAGGAATGCATATGTCTTTTTGGTAGAACAATTTATATTCCTCTGGGTATATACCCAATAATAGGATTGCTGGGTCAAATGGTAGTTCTGTTTTAAGTTATTTGAGACATCTTCAAACTTCTTTCTACAGTGGTTGGACTAAATTACATTCCCGCTGACAGTACGTAAGTGTTCCCTTGTGTCCATAGTCTTGCCATCATCTTTTGTTTTTTGACTGTTTGATAATAGCCACTCTGAGTAGTGTGAGATGGTACGTCATTGTCATTTTGATATGCGTTTCTCTGCAAATTAGTGATGTGGATCATTTTTTCATATGTTTGTTGGCTGCTTGTGGGTTTTGTTTTGAGACGCAGCAGTTCATGTTTTTTGCACATTCTTCAATGGGGTTGTTTTTTGCTTGTTGAATTATTTAAATTCCTTATAAATTCTGGACATTAGGCCTTTGTTGAATGCAGTTTGGAATTTTTTTTCCCATTCTATAGGTTATCTGTTTATCCTGTTGATAGTTTTGCTGTGCTGTGCATAGTTTCTTTTAGTTTAATTACGTCCCACTTGTTGAACTTTGTTTTCATTGCAATTGCTTTCAGGGACTTATTCATAAATCGTTTCCCAAGGCCAATGTCCAGAATGGTGTTTCCTAGGTTTTTTTTTTTTTTTCTCAGATTCTTATAGTCTGAAGTCTTACATTTAAATATTTAATCCATCTTGAGTTAATTTTTACATATAGTGAAAGTAGTGGTCCAGTTTCATTCTTCTGCATAGGACTAGCCAGCTGTTCCAGCTGGCTATCTATTGAGTAGAGAGTCTTTTTTCCCCATTGATTATTTTTGCTGACTTTGTTGAAGATCAGATGGTTGTAGGTATGTGACTTTGTTTCTTTATTTCTGGGTTCTCTGCTCTGTTTGTTCCATTGCTCTATGTGTCTGTTTTTACACCTCTACCATGCTGTTTTGGTTACCATAACTTTACAGTATATTTAAAGTCATAATATTATACCTCTGGCTTTTTTTTTTTTTTTTTTTTTTTTTGCTTAGGATTGATTTGGTTATTTGGTTTGCCCACATTTTAAGTTTTTTTTTTTCTGTCAAATTGTATGTGTTCCCTGTATATTCTTGATATTAGTCCCTTGCCATGTAAATAGTTTGCAAATATTTTCTCCCATTTGACAGATTGTCTCCACTCTGTTGATGGAATGGAATATTTTAGAGAGAATAAGGCAGCTATTTCAAGCAAAGTGCCTTCAAATATCAACTCAAGAGATTAATAAGATTTGATTGGGGCCAGACTAGAAACAGTTTAGCATAACTACAACAATATAAACAGCATCCATTGAACCAGGAAATAGTATAAAACATGCTTTAGAAATTCTGAACCAGTAGCAGTTTATCTTAGAGGGGATCCCGGGTGAGGAGAGATGGAGGCACAGAGAAAAACAATGCTGGAGAATTTGGGTGGTCTTAAGAAACAACTCTCTTCTTTCCTCAAGGTTCCAAGGCTTAAAAAAATTCACAACAGGGGCCGGGCGCGGTGGCTCACGCCTGTAATCACAGCACTTTGGGAGGCCGAGGAGGGTGGATCACGAGGTCAGGAAATCGAGACCATCCTGGCTAACATGGTGAAACCCCGTATCCACTAAAAATACAAAAATTAGCTGGGCATGGTGGCGGGCGCCTATAGTCCCAGTTACTCGGGAGGCTGAGACAGGAGACTGGCATGAACTCGGGAGGTGGAGCTTGCAGTGAGACGAGTTCGCACCCCTGCACTCCAGCCTGGGCGACAGAGCGAGACTCCATCTAAAAAAAAGAAAAAGAAAAAGAAAAAGAAAAGAAAAAGAAAAAAAAATCACAACAGGAACTGGTAATCTAACAGGAATTATAGAGCCATTTTTATTAGTCTGAAATCGAGTTGGCCAGACAGGCTCCATCCTTCAAACTTGACCTTCATGATGTTCCATTTCATTGATATATTATTGGTCTTTTTTCACTGACCTACCAAATCCTGAGATAGGCCATATTCCTTCCAGCAAGTGTATTTTTGTGAATTTCCACATCTCCTCTGTCTGGCGAACTTTCACTCTCATACTAAATTCATTGTCAGCTTTTAAGTTTCATACTTTTATGATTCTTTTTTATTTATTTATTTATTTATTTATTTATTTATTTATTTATTTATTTTTGAGACGGAGTCTCGCTCTATTGCCCAGGCTGCAGTGCAGTGGCACGATCCCGGCTCACTGCAAGCTCCGCCTCCCGGGTTCACGCCATTTTCCTGCCTCAGCCTCCCGAGTAGCTGGAACTACAGGTGGCCGCAACTACGCCCAGCTAATTTTTTGTATTTTTTAGTAGAGATGGGGTTTCACCGTGTTAGCCAGGATGGTCTCGATCTCCTGACCTCGTGATCCGCCCGCCTCGGCCTCCCAAAGTGCTGGGATTACCGGCGTGAGCCACCGCGCCCGGCCATTTTTATGATTCTTTTAGATTTTAGATTTCTCCTGGAATATAACTTCATCAGGCTGTCTTCTCTACCATTCTCACGTGTAGGCAGGCTTATTCTCTGCTTTCAGAGCCTGTGTTCATATTCTTGATGAACTTAATTTATGCTTACACATTTATTTGTGTGCATACTGATTAGTGTCTATCTATTCTCACTGAAATATAGGCTCCTTGAAAGCACAGGAAATATATTTAAGTAATGGGGATGCAATAGTGCACAAAATCAAAGTGTTTTGAGCCATATTTGTCATTGAATAAATATTTGTTGAATTTATGAATCAATTAGTCCTAAAAAAAACCAGCCCATAGCTAGAAAGTAGTGGAGGCTAGAACTAGCTCTAAAGTAGGTGTCTGTGAAAAGATAGAAAACCCTGAAACATATCTCAAACAGCATAAGATGAGTGAGGAATCCTGCCAAAATAAAACACAGGATTAAGCCTACTTTGGTATCACTGAGACAAAATATCCTGCACTAAGATTTGAAATATTTTACCCTTAAAGAAACACGGTACACCAAAAGTTACATTTTACTCAAAATTCAGACAATGTCAATTTTCTGACATAGGAATTTGGAATAGAGATGTACAAAGACACGAGGGAAATGCTTGGAAGCTCTCAAGTGCGGAGAATTCTTTGCACAGACTCCCTCTCTCTGCACAGATGAACACCATGAGCTTGCTGGAAGGGGTTCAAAGAACAGCCCACAGCAGCACTCGAGTTTGCTAAAGTGACTGACGTTGGCTTCAGTTTGGAATCCAAAGGCGACAACTGACAAGGAAGAGCGGAAGGGAAGGGAGAAGTGAGATTTGAACAGTTGCAAAAGCCCAAGGCAGCAGAAGGCAAACATCTTCTGGGGTTATCAAGTGCTCATAGCAAGTGGCACCAGACATCTTTCTAACAGAGTAACATCTGGTGATTGAAGCAGCCAGCCCTAAAGAAACACCTCTCTCTCCCTCCATTGTAGAGTCTGAAACAATAGGCAAAACAAGAATGGATTGTTTGCATTTTGATATCTCATTTATTCATCTTTGATGGGAGAGTTGATTGTAATAAAATTGGGAATATTAAATAGTGCCTACTGTACATCAGATATTATTCTAAGTGCTTGCTTGTGTTAATTAATTGAATAATAAATCGAACAATCTTGTCATATAGATATTATTATCACCCCCTATTTTCAGTTAAGAAATGGAAGCACAAATCATTCAAAGGGTTTGTTCAAAACCGTACATCTAGTGTTTGACAATCTAGCTTCTAAGTTTTTAACTACGGCCTATGGTGCGTCTATATTATATCAAGGTTAACATTTATTGAATGTTTAACATGAGTGTTTCATATGTCTAAGCATTATCACATGAAATTCCCAGTTCAAGTTTTGAAAGAATGTTCTTTTCCATGCCGGCTGGTCATGGTGGCACATGCCTGTAATCCCAGCATTTTGAGAGGCTGAGGCAGGCGGATCACTTGAGGCCAGGAGTTCAAGAACAGTCTGGACAACATGGCAAAACTCCATTTCTACCTAAAATACAAAAAAAATTAGCCAGGTATATTGGTGCATGCCTGTAGTCCCAGCTACTTGGTGGGGGTAGGGGGTGGTGGCTAAGGCAGGAGAATTGCACCACTGGGCAACAGAGCAAGAATTCAGTTTCAAAAAAAAAATGTTTTGCATTCTGACTTTACACACAAGAGAATTGAGGCTGAAAGAGCTACTACATAGATAACCAGTTATTGAGCAATTCCAATGCACACGATAATGTGCTTTGTGATACAGGCATATACAAAGATGAATGCCTTGTCCACAAGTAGCTCTTAGTTTAGCAAGAGACTGGAGTTGAGGCATAATGACAAGAGATGCGAATAAGCATTTATAACCACACATGCTGTTCCAGGTACTGGATAAGGCATTTTACACATATTATGCCATATAATGCTTAGCTCATTCCTATGGAAAAGCTCTAATTCTAACCCAACTTTCTATAAGTGTGTAGTTTTTATTATATACGTATCTATAAATACCAGTGAAGAAACTGGGGAGTCTGGCTGAGCTCGGGCGTTTAGGTGAAAAGCTGACATTCATCATACCCAAAGTTCTCATAATCAATTAGTGGCAAGGACCAAATTCAAACTCAGGTTCTTGTTAAACCTATGCGGCTTGTCTACAGCTCCTCCAGGTCTCAGACTCTAGCCTAATTCATATATTTAATCCTTGTCTTTTCACAGAGAATATGTATGAGAAACTCTGTGTTGATAAACAATATAATTGAAAAACCTTTAGAGAATGATCTATTTCTAGGATTATCCATGGAAAACATCCAAAGTGCTCAATAATTGATACAAATAACCAGGTGCTTATCCAAACTTTTTTTTCTTTTTTGCAGCACATTTTTTAAAAAGGACAGATGGTAACAGATTTTATTAAAAAAAAGAAAAGAAAAAGAAAAATATATTTGCATAAAATACAAAAAAATCACACAGACTTTTTCACTGTTTCAGATGCTTTTGTAGCAGAAATAGTTCAAGAATGATTAAGCATATTGTAGAAATGTTACAAGGATTTTCCCATGGCAATAAAATCAGTAACTCATTGTATGGCTTTGAGTACACCTCATCACCTCTCTTGACAACAGTCTACTCAACTTTTAGTTTTGTTTCTAGGTCATGTGGCAAGATTCAAAAGAAACCCCTTTGTTCAGAAATCCAAGAAGACAATGGCCAGAGCATCAGTGGTTTCTCCTGGCCTGAAAGAAACAGATTTTGCAACTTAAATTCTAAGGCTCTGAATTGGCCTCTACTCTATACTTATCTGGTCACTGTATTTCTTACTACCTCCCATCACACAGATCTAACTCCTGGCATTCTGACCTGTGTGGTTTTGTTGTTGTTTCTTTGTTTAATGCCGTTTTTGTTTAAGAATCAGTTTCTTTTTAGATGTTGTTTAATCTTGGTATGTATTTTCACACCTTTTTCTCTGAACAGAGGGCCACTCATTTGTATTAGTCCATTTTCACACTGCTATAAAGATACCATCTGAGACTGGGTAATTTATCAAGGAAAGAGGTTTAACTGACTCACAGTTCCACGTGGCTGGGGAAGCCTCAGGAAACTTACAATCATGGCGGAAAACCAAGGGGAAGCAAGCCTGTCTTAGAAAGCATGAGACAGAGGGGGCGAGGAGGGATCTGCCACACTTTATAACCATCAGATCTCGTGAGAACTCACTCATATCAGAACAGCAAAGGGGAAAAATGCCCCCATGATCAAATCACCCCCCACCAGGTCCCTCCCTTGACAGATGGGGATTACAATTTGAGATGAGATTCGGGTAGGGACACAGAGCCAAACCATAACCATCCTTCAAGACCCAAAACTTATGTTCTATGAGAGCAAGGGCTTTAAAAAGTACAATTGAAGTATTGTCTTTAAAATATATGTACTTGCCTATGAGCTAGGAGAAAAATGTCTTATTTTGCAATCCCCCCATTTCTAAAAAAGTTCAAGCTTTTGTTATTTGAAAACTGTGACTTTTCATTCTCTTTTTCTTTTCTTTTCTTTTTTTTTTTTTTTGAGACAGAGTCTTGCTCTGTTGCCCAGGCTGGAGTGCAGTGGCGCGATCTCGGCTCACTGCAAGCCCTGCCTCCCGGGTTCACGCCATTCTCCTGCCTCAGCCTCCCGAGTAGCTGGGACTACAGGCATCCGCCACCATGTCGGGCTAATTTTTTTTGTATTTTTAGTAGAGACAGGGTTTCACCGTGTTAGCCAGGATGATCTTGATCTCCTGACCTCGTGATCCACCCTCCTTGGCCTCCCAAAGTGCTGGGATTACAGGCGTGAGCCACAGCGCCTGCCGAAAAATGTGACTTTTCAAGCTAAATCTTAGGTGTTAGATCTCTTTTCATCTATTGAATGAAACATGTATATGTGCTTAACTTGCGAAATTGTTTGTTCCCTGTTTGACTTACAGGTGTGTTTCTCCCTTATGTCCGCCCTTATAAACATCTAGGTCTTTAGAATATATTTCTCAGATGCTCAGTTAAAGCGTATCTTGTCATTTAGATTTCCCAGGCAAAGTCAGGTGAGGCTCTTTTGGGCTTTAGCAAAAATCTACTCTGGTTCTTCTAATTGATGATGCATAGGTGGTATAGCTATTATTTCTGCCTGATAGAACTCATGTATGAACGAAGGTGATTTTTAAAAACTATAATTTAAAGCTGTTCTTAGTTGTTCTCCAACTGAAAGAATATATGAGGAAACGCAGTTCCCAGAATTTCTTACATCTTTTCCATTACCTTCTGCTCCCTTTCTATCTGCAAATCTATATGACTTTATATTGCAGAATGTAGCCTCCAATCTTCAGCCCCTTCACTTCTAGCACTTAGGTTAGTAGTTTTCATAATGAAACAAGAGAGGAGAAGAGTGTGTAAGTTGGGACTGGTTTATTGATTGACTCTTTAGTTGATGGACCATGGATCTGTACAAAGTCAACCTCAGGTTTCTTCTCAGTTGAGCCTCTTTACAGTGTAACTCATGGTAATTTCCTCAAAGATATTTGAACAATTTGCATATCTATCAGTGTTGTAAATTTGAAAGAGTCACATTTTTTTATGGGCATTTTTTTTGGAAAGCTTTAGGCAATGGGAGTGAATCAGCCTTTGCTAACTAGTCAGTGAGTCATGTGCATCATATCCTAGCATTTAATTCTCTTAATTTACTGATGCTTCCCTGTGGGCCTCTAAGCCTAGCATTCCTTCTGACACTTAATAGGTGCTCAATAAAAGGTTGATTGATGAATTGATTATTTCAATGTGCACTTGGGTAATATGGTATATGCTAAATTAAATACTTTCTTACTTAACCCAGCCACAAGTTTAAATGTAATTCTGTCCCCATGGCAATTTCTCAAAAGAGAAAGGCCATTAACTCTGCTGACATGTGTAATCTCCAGCTTGACTTAGTGCCCCAACCCAACATTTCTAAAATGGGTTTAGTTGATTAAATGAAACTATGTGGGATTATTTGTCTCTCTGTCTGGTAGAATTCATGACTGAGTGCCTCCTCATATTTCACCGTTCAGGCTTCAGTGGGTTTCTGAGGAAAACTGACTTTTTTGGAGGAAAGAGGCTTAAATATTTTATTTTAAGAAAGGATGCAGATGATTAAATGTACAACTTAATTGGAATAGTTCATGTTCACTGAAAATTTAAATTTATTATTCCAAATTATCTAGTATACTACAGCTTTTCATTCATTCTCTCCTACTTACTTAACCCCTGGAGAAAATATCTATCCCAAGAATGATTCAGAAACGGTGTCAGAGTAGAATTAATGCTGTGGTCTTTTCATTTTTTTCTTATTAATTTCCAGATACTTAACATAGGGCAATTTAATTTTTTGAATTTATTTTATCCTGTAGGTACTTTGAAAGTATATAGAAAGGTCCTCTGGCAGAAGCACACAATTTAGAGCAAATAAAGTTACTTTAGAATTAACTGTCACCATCGCCATGTTGTTCATTTTAAGAGGTGAAGAGAAGAAACAATTTCTGCTCCTTGTTGGCAAGTTTTTCCTTTGGAAGTGTGAATATCAATTATGACTATGTTGTTAAGTGCTATGTGGGGGTCACTATTTATATGGCAGATACTGAGATGTGCCACTCATATTCTTCTTCAAGGAAAGACTTACTGTCCAACTGCAAGGACTGTGTTAGCTAACAATCTTCAGTCGGCAGCATTTTCGGGGTTTGCTTCAGCAATTATCTAGCCCAGAACACACTCCCTCCTGGGGCTTTCATCTAATTATTGAAGAAGGCAATGGTACAAAACCCAGCCATTTTCATTCGATACAGGATTCCTCTGATGGATGATCTTTGACCCAGACTTCCTTGTTTAGGTTGCCAGAGATTTTCTTCAGGTCTGTATTGTGATCTGACACCTTCCCCTGCCCACTCATCCTTCCTCCCATGCCCTTCACAGAATGACCCCCTCTAAACCTTTTGTGCCTCTAACACTGTCCTAGAATCTGCTTCCCAGGGAACACAACCTTTGGATGATATGTTAGGAAGGTCAATAAGAAGGTAAAACGAAGAGATTTGAAATGTCAAAAAGACTTGGCTTTACTTTCCCTCTCCTCTTACGTTCAAATAAATAAGGATGCTCTCTGAGCATTCGAGCGGTCCTTGCTAGTATCACTTGGACATAGCAGAAAGGAGAAGTCCTTTCTATCTAGGGTTAGAGTGAGACCAACTGCTCCCTTTCAGAGAGCTTTTGTGCAAGGGTTTAAAGAATAAGCCTGAGCTAATAATCTAATAATAATAAAATGGTCCAGGTTTCCTTTGTGCTTACATCACCCTCTTCATGGTAAGAAGGTACTGATAAACCAAGACAGACATCAAGCCTTCCTGGTCCCCTGGGCTCACTCTCTCAACAATAGCAGAAAGTCACCATAGTACTTGAGTGCTGAAGAATGTCATTATCCTGTGTGTGCATAGCTTGACTTACAATGAATTCATCATCATTTAGGATACTCCCTAAAATCCTTTGAATTATGAAAAACATTCACTTAAAGACATTGTAGTTCAGGGAGGTGAGATGCCATTACTTTTGGTGTTATCATTATCATCATCATTATTAAATACCGAGTATTTAATAGGTGCCAGTAGTGTGCTGGGTGTTTTATATCCATTATCTAATATACATTTTACAACAGCTCTAGCAGGTTGATATGATGTCCAGTTTTAGATGTGGAAACTAAGGCTAGAGATTTTAGGTAACATGTCCAAGGACACACTGTTAAAAATGCCAGTTGGGCTGGGCTCATCAGGTCTGACGAATGAATTCATTTCATCTAGATCCAAGGCCATTGCTCTTTTCCTTTCATCTAAGAGTGCTATTAATAGGAGCACAAGAGAGAGTTTATAACACTTTGGATGGATTGTAGCTTTTATTCTGACGTGTCTTCCTGGCATGTGTGATATACACAGATTTCATTACACAGAATGCATTTTCACTTCTCTGATGGATCAGAAATGTTTACTTCCTTTCTTTCTTTCGCTTTTTCTCATTAAGAATGCAAAAATTATCCTGGTTTTCCTTGTAAGATCTATGTTGTTTTTTCTTGGTGTAACTATTCTTCCCAAGCAATAACTATTTTCTCCTTTATATGGTTGTATTTTAATTAAACAATTATAGTGTTGCTGAGTGTCAAGAACAGGAACGATATTTCTAATAGATAAGGCTTTGAATCCTGGAGTTGATGATGATACTAATAATTAATTCATCATCTGTAAGATTCAGAAGCTAACACCTCTTCTATAGGTTTTCTATGAAGGATAAAATCAGAGCCCTCATTCAACCTTTCCTTCATTTATTCAGCTATCATTCTTCAGTGACTGGAAAGGCAGACACAAAATATCATATGCAGCAGAACACACACACAGGTTATTATGGCTAAAAAAAAGATAAGGTGATTGGACAGGCAAGATATTCTGGAAAACTTGACCCCTGAGTTCAGGTTTCAGATAGGAGAAGGTGTAGCTAAAAGGAGAAAGTCCATGGAAACAGGAAATATCAATCAGAGCAGAGGGATAATAAAAGGAAATGGAAAAAAAATTCCACAGAAAAATACATTATGGATGTTTCACGCAATAGTTCAGAAACAGTTGCCTATAGCGAGATATAAATTTTGAGGCAGTGAGTAGATGGCCTTATGCTATTTAGATGTTTATCTGTGTGTGTTAAATACCCAAAGACAAGAATGATGCCTCACACATAGTAAGTACCTAAGAAATGGTATTTCTCCATTTTCTTTCTGAGGCTCCCAGTTTTATATGTTTATTTCTTCCTTTTTTTCTTCTTCCTTCACTATGACCCACTTAATTCCCTACCAATCACCAGAGTCTGCTCATTTGAACTGGCATCCATTAATTTGGACTCCAATCAATGAGCCAAAAGCATTTACACAGTTTTCTTTATATTTTTCACCAAGTGATTTTCCACAGAATCCCCGTGTCTTCTAAGTCATGCTGGCTGCCTCCTTTTTTTTTGCTTTAGGCATGAATCAGGTCTTAGGAAGCAATAGTTTGGTCTCACAGATACCTTTAAAAGATTTTATATTGGGAAAGTTCTGGAAAGGCGGAAAAAGAATAGGGAACTTGTGTACTTTTAAATAATGAGCAACTTGGAACAAGGATTGGAATTCTTGAAAATCAACTAACCCAGTAAATAAGAAATGAGTATATTCATAAATGACATACAAAAATAACAGGAAATATTTTGTTCCTTTCTTAAATTATTTGTTTTATTGTTGGATTTATTAGTGCTGAATGAAAACAGAGCTGTGGAGAGAATGTTGTAAAACTGGGAAAATGTTTTTCATCAAAATGGAGTTTTAAAAAGAAATTTGAGGGAGGAGTATTGTTTTCATAAAGCCATCACTCAAGGAGTTTCAAAATAATTCCTGTGTGCAAACGGGAATTACAATTCTCATTTACCAGATACGCTTGTTTGGCAAAGATACCTTTGCAGAGTAATAATGTCAGAGAACATTCATTTATTTTTGTTTATGTGTTCATTTATTCAATCACTCACTTTACTTTCAATCATATATAAAGCAACTATTACTAGTTGGATTTTGTGCTAGTTGTTGAGTGTATAACAAAGACAGGTTATCACCTTTACCAGATATTAGCATTTTAGATGGGAAGGCAGATTATAAACAAATGATTGTGATTGAATGTGGTGTGTAGTACTTAAGCAGAGGTGGTGGTTGGTTGTCTTGGAAGCACAGACATATAAGCCAAAACCTGCATGGAGAATGTCAGTGTTGAAAGATGAATACAAATTCTCTGGATGACTATGTCACAGGATCCTTAGGGTGTCACTCTTCCAGCTGGAAACCTCTGTGACCAGTCGGACCTTTGCCCTAGTTTTGCTTGAGCCCACTGGGCTCATTCTGCCCAATCGGCCTGGCAGGCTACACTCAACTCAAGATACTGGCCTGCATCCCACACCTCTGAAGACTGGAGCCAGGTGCAGAATGGTGAGGGGTGCCTGAGCAAATGAGAGCAGGGTCCGGCTCCTGTCACAGCCAGGCATGTCAGCTGCTGTGGGGGGCAGGCAGCTACAGGCACCAGCACAGGTGCCAGCTCTGTGCAAGCCTGTGGCTGGAACAGATGCACCAAAATGCCTTCTGCTGTGGGCACCCATGTCTGGATGAGGGGAACACAATGGTGCCCAGAAGCTTGGAGATGCCAGAAACCACAGAGCCCCAAAGAGGGTGGCACAGCCCTGGCTCAGGGAGCCCCAGCTCTTCTCTACTTCTTGTTGCCCACAGTGTGGTGAGTTGGGGGACGGGGGTGTACATGTTTCAGCTCTGTTTGTGTTATACCTCTTTCAGTCCCACCATTCGGTGGGCCCCAAGTTCTTTTCCCACATTAGTAAGAATGAGGTACATGGACAACTGGAGGATGACCAAGGCAAAGAGGTGTCTTATTGAGCAACAGTACAGCTCCAAGGACACCCAAAGTGGGTAGCTACTTTCCAAAGGCAGGTTGTCCTGAGGAGTGTGCAGTCCTCAGCAGAGGGGAGACCCAGAGAGGGTAGTCCCTATCTGCAGGCAGGTCGTCCCATTGTCTGCCTGAGTCTGGCTGCGTCCAGGGTTTTTATGAGCTTCAGAAGAAGTGCATGCTGACTGATCCACGGGCAGCCATGGGTGGGCCCAAAAAAGCACCATAAGTTCTCACTCCAGGCCACAGGCTCCACCCAGAATCGACAGTTGGGCCCCCATGCTTCAGGTTATCCCTGGCTTGAAGGTGGGGCTTCAGCAGAGACCTGCCCCTTTCTGCCCAGGAGCCTGTCTCCCTCCTGCTGCCATCTATATGTCATCTGCAGCACCCAAGTTGTTCATGCCAAAGGGCACCTGCAGGCCAGTGCTGAGCTACCTTCAGCCCCCCAAACCCAAAGTCTGGAGGTGGCCAAGGTGGTAGGGGGCTGGCGTGTCAGTGCCACCCCAAACATGGGCACACCTGGTCAGGTCACAATAGTGCCTGGGCTTGACCACAACTTTGCTCTGAAATTGGAGCTGGCACTGGGAACAGGGATAAGCCAGGGATTGGGCATAGCCACTTCTGAGCCTGTAGGGGGAGGGGGGTCTTCCTGGGCCCCCAGTAGTGTAGGGATGCCTGGGTCCATGGCCACGGCTAGGTGGCTGCAGCTGAACCCAGAAGGATGAGGCCCCTGTCATGCCAACTCTGAAGTGGGCAGGGCTCCTGCCTGTTTCTGGCTCCCACTGGCTCTGCAGAGCACTCAGCTCCAGTCACTTCTCCCTCGCTGCAGCTGGTGTCTTTGCAGTGCCCCCAACATATGGGCTGCTGCTGCTGTCAACTACAGAGAGGAGCTTAAGGAGGAACTTAAGTACAGAGCATCAAAAGTGTACTACAATAGAATCAAATGGGTAAGATTTTACATTATGGAGGGAGAATAATAATTTCAAATTCTTACTTTTTCCCTCTTAATCCTTCTTTAATATCTCACCTCCACTGCACACTTTATACTAGGCATTTGTGAAGAAAACTATTGGATCAAGTTCTTCAATCCTTATAGTGGCCCTGTGACCTCACAATCTTACAGATGATGCAACTAGCATAAATTAAATAGTTTGTTGTGGGCTCACAATTTAAGCAGGGATTCTGACTTGTAGCATGGCTGAAGGTCATGGCTTTCAGGAAAGCTAACATTACTCAATCCTTTTGCTTCATCTGAGCCTTTGCATAAATGGTGATCATCACTGACACTTAACCATGATAGGCTTCGTGCTACGTATTTTTATTTTATTTTATTTTGATTTTTTTTTTTGAGTCAGAGTCTCACTATGTCGCCCAAGCTGGAGTGCAGTGGCACGATCTTGGCTCATTGCAACCTCTGCCTCCCAGGTTCAAGCGATTCTCCTGCCTCAGCCTCCTGAATAGCTGGGATTACAGGAGCATGCTGCCATGCCTGGCTAATTTTTGTATTTTTAGTACAGACGGGGTTTCACCATGTTGTCCAGGCTGTTCTCGAACTCCTGACTTCAGGTGATCTGCCCACCTTGGCTTCCCAAAGTGCTGGGATTACAGGCATGAATCACCGCACCTGGCTAAGTGTTAGGTATTTTAATAACCCTGATAGTAACAACAATAGCAACAACAGCAAAATAGCTACCTGCAATCAGCCATGTTTTGTGGAAGACAATGCTAAAACTTAGAAATTGTTATTTTTATTTGAAAGATGAAGAAGCTGAGGTTTACCTAGGTCATAAAATTTTCCAACAATATAGCTTGATGGTGATAAACAAATGAATATAGAAACCAGGTCTGTTTGATCTAGAGTCCATGCATATCCAACCTCATCACAGGACTCCCTCCTGCTTAGAAATGGGCCAGTTCCATCTCCTCACCCACCTGCTGCCTATGTTCTATGAATAATCAGAATATGCTGCTGATACTGGCAGTGAAAAAACTGCAATTATTCAGAGACAAGTAATAGCACAAGGCTCAGGAACAATAGCTTGGAAGTGCTTACCAAGGCCCTCAGGGGGAAGCACCCATCAGGCAGCTGCATCAAACAGCACTATCAACTCTCATTGATTTGATTGCCACCATTATTCAGGTGAAAAATCGCTTCTCTAAAGCCCTCTCCAAGATACATTCTGACTGCAGACATCCTCAGAAAACTCCCACACATCTCCTTAGCAGCCCACCTGTCACTTCCTTGCAGGGGTTAAGATGCTATTTTTTTTTTCCTGAAAATATATTTTGAAGCACTGGAGTCAGGTGTGTTTGGTCTCTGCTCTTCAGCTCTAATATCTAATAATCATGATTAGGTTTTCTTTTTTGGCATCAATTACTTCATTAGAGTTAAAATGAATACATAATAGGAAGAATTGTGTAAGGATAAGTGGCATGATAAATGAGATAAATAATTATAATGGTAACTCATATTTATTAAGCATTCACTATATGCCAGCCCTGTGCTGACTATGTGTCATTGAACTCCTATGAAAGACCTATTACTTTCTCACTTTAAACATTGGGAAGTTCGTGTAGCATTTATGTGTTAAGGTGACCCCCATATAACTCTCTCCCCTTGAGTGTAGGCAGATCCTGTGATTTGCTAAAGGTGAAGGAACTTTTCAGCTGTAATTAAGGTCTCAAATCATTTGACTTTGACTTAATCAAAAGGGAAATTATCCTGGTTGTGTCTTACCTAATCAAGTGAATTCTGAAAAGAGTGCCAGCTATTCAGCATATGAAGAAGACAAGATATACTTTTTACCAGAACTTAGCATTCTAGGTAGAAAGGCTCTAGACAAATGATTATAATTCAATTTGATGTGTAGTACTTAAGCAGAGGTAATGATTGGTCATCTTGAGATCACAGATACATGAGCTACAGCCTACATGTCAGTATTGAAGGATGAATACCAATTTTGTGGGTATACTACAGAGGAGCTTAAGTAATGGTACAGAATCTCAAAAGTATACTGCAATGCAGCCAAGTGGCTCAGACTGGGGGAGAGAAGCCAGAATTATTCTCTTACTGGTCCTGAAGAAGTGAAATGCCATTAATTCTACAGCTACAAAGAAATAAATTCAGCCAACAACTTAAGAGAGCTTGGGAAAAGATTCTTCCCCAATCAAGCCTCTGATCAGAATTCAGCCTGACTAATGCTTAGTTGAAGTTTTTTAAGACCTTGAGCAGAATAATCAGCTAAAATGTGCCCAAGCTCCTAATCTGCCCCACAGAAACTGTAAGAAAATAAATGGATGTTTTAAATCATATTTAATTGAGGTAAAATTCACATAAAGTTAACCATTTTGAAGCATATAACTCTGTGGCATTTAGTACACTCATGTTGTACAACCATTACCACTATTTCTAAAACATTTTAACCACCCCAAAAAGAATCTCTGCACCCATTAAACAGTCACTCTTCATCCGCCTCCTGCCAGCCCCTAGAAGCGAATAATTTGTTTCTGTATCTATAGATTTACCTGTTCTGGATATTTTATATAAATAGAACCATACACTACATGACCTTGGTGTCTGACTACATTTGCTTGGCTTCCTGTTTTTGAGGCTTCCTGGCATTGTAGCATATATCAGTACTTCATATGGATATAAAACATTTTCTTTATTGATTCATTCATCAATGCCCGTTTGAGTTGCTTTCTCCTTTTGGCTATTGTGAATAGTGTTGCTATGAATATGTGTACATGTATTTGTTTGAGTCCTTGCTTTCAATAGATTTGATTATTTAACTAGGAGTAGAATTATTACATTATATGGAAATTCTATGTATATTTGTCAGCATTCTCTAGAGGGGCAGAACTAATAGGATATATATCATATATATAGGAGTTTATTAAGTATATATAGGAGATATATATATATATAGGAGATACATATATATATATCTATATATATATATATAGATATATATGAGCTTATTAAGTATTAACTCACAAGCTCACAGATCCCACAATAGGCTGTCAGAAAGCTGAGGAGCAACGAGAGCTAGTCTGAGTGCCAAAACTGAAGAACTTACAGTTTGATGTTTGAGGGCAGGAAGCATCCAGCATGGGAGAAAGATGTAGACTGGGAGGCTAGGCCAGTCTAGTCTTTTCACAGTTTTCTGCTTGCTTTATATCCTAGCCACGCTGGCAGCTGGTTAGATGGTTCCCACCTAGATTAAGGGAGGGTCTGCATTTCCCAGCCCATTTACTCAAATGTTAATCTCCTTCAGCAACATCCTCACAGAAACACCTAGGATCAATACTTTGCATCTTTAAATCCAATCAAGTTGACACTCAGTATTAACCATCACACTATGTTTACTTTTTTGAGGAACTTCCAAACTGTAATAAACGTGTTTTAAACCCTTACATTTGTGGCAATTTGTTATGCAGTCATAGAAAACAAATGCTCTGAGGAACAACACTATACACACACAAAAACATGTATATGTCTATTGCAACCCTATTAACAGGAGCAGAGATATTGAGTGAACATAGGAGCACATCGAGAGTGGATTGAATAAATAAAATGTGGCATATATACACCATGGAATACTAAGCAGACATATATACCATGGAATACTATGTAGCCATAAAAAAGCATGAAATCATGTCCTTTGCAGCAACCTCGATGCAGATGGAGGTCATTACACTGAGTGATTTAATACAGAATCAGAAAACCAAATAACACGTTTTTACTTAAAGTTGGAACTAATCATTTTGTACAAGTGGACATAAAGACGGAAAAATAGATATTAGGAATTCCAAAAGGTGGAGGGAGAGGCGCAAGCATTGAAAAACCACCTATGGGACACTACATTCATTAGGTGACAGGTTCAGCTGAAGCCCAAACCTCAGCATCACACAATATATCCATGTAACAAATCTGCACATGTACCCCTGAATCTATTTTTTTTAATATATAGAATTGATAATTGGAAGATCAAAGATTTGATCTCAGATCTATCTGACATCAGGTACAGGGTGTGTAAGCACTTCCATATCAATTTATGTTTACTACAGAGTTCACTGAGTTTCTAATTTAAGTCAATCGTTCTCAAAGTGTCTGCACCAACAGTATCATCATCACCTAGTATCTTCCTAGAAATGCAAGTTATCAGGCCCTATTCCAGACCTACAAAATCAGAAACTCTGTAGTTGTGATTCAGCAAGCTGTGTGTTAATAAGCCTGTGGGTGCTTCTTATTAACATAGATGTTTGAGATCCACTGCTGTGCCAAACAGTAATCGGAATTTAAGCCAAGGAAATGATGGAAATGAACTTTCCCTTATTGAGTGCATCATTTACTGAGGGAAACTGATAGGTAAGCAAGCAATTCCAACACAGTGCCATCAGCACCTAGAAAGAGAGAATAAGTTATGCCCCATTACAGTCACAGAAGAACTAAGCCTTCCTAGGAAGCATAGATTTCTTCACAGAGAAGGCAACATGCAAGAAGGGCCTTAAGGAAGTAGGATATCTGCAGTTTATCAAAAAGTAAATCATTTAAAGGATGCAAATTTCCTGTATAAAGTGATAGAAGCATGAATCACAGTGACTTATTGGGATAGTGTAGAAGGCACATTGGAGAAGGTAGGGGAGATTATCAAAAGATGAAACTAAACTACTGTCTTAGTCCATGAAGGCTGCTGTAACAGAAAAACACAAACTAGTTGGCTGATAAACAATGGAAATTTATAACAATTCTGGAGGCTGGGAAGTCCAAGACCAAAGCACTGACAAAAACAATGTCTGATGAGGACCCGCTTCCTCATAGACAGCTTTTCTCCATATGAAACCTTATATGGAAGAAGACAAAGAAATCTTGGTGGGGGTATCTCCTGTGTCTCTTTTAGGAGGCACTGATCCTATGCATGTGTCCTCCATCCTCATCTAATTACCTCCCAAAGGCCTCACCTAGTACAACATCTTGGAGGTTAGGATTTCAACATATGAACTTGGCAGAAGGGACACAAATATTCAAACTAGAGTAACAGGTGATCACAAAATTTTGGTTTTTATCTGTTGCATTTAATGAATCATTAAACAACATTTAGCAGGAACAGCATCTACTTGGAATTTCATTTCAGAAGGCTGAATTTGGTGGGGGAAATACTTGTACGTGGATAGGAAGACCTTGTAGAATTTTCTACTTTCTTGAATATGTAATATCACTAAGCCTCAGTGTCTTGTTCTCTAAAACATTAGTGCATACTAATTTTTTTCAAGTCCATTTAGTGTCTTTATTAAAGATCAGTTATTGATGACGTTTGTGAAGTTTTCATTTTTGACAGTGGAAATTATAATGCTATAGACATTGCTCTTATTATCCAAATTATTCAGTTCTGTCTACCTTGATGTTCTAAGGATTATGACCAGTTAATATTTACTCAGTTAATTAACTCAGTTTACTGAGTTAATAAGCATAACAGTGTTTAATGAGTGCTTAGTATCTGCTAGGAATAATTATAAGCACTTTTCTTTGCATTATTAGATAGAGTTATATAAAACAATGCTTCTCTAATTTTAATATCCATGAGAATCATTTGTGATTCTTGTTAAAATTCAGATTATGATTCAGAAGTTCTGGGGTTGAGTTTGATATTCTGTGTTTCTAACAAGCTCTTACATAATTCTGATAATCCTGGAGTGAAGATCATAGTTAGAGTAGCAAGCATGTAAACAACCTTGTTTTGTATGTAAGAAAACAGGATTAAGAGGTTAAATAAAGACAACAGTGCTGGGAAGTGGTTGAGTCAGGATCTAAACTCAGGTGCATCTGATAAATAAAGCAGCTGCCAAGATGCTGGAGGATTCAGAGATTAGAGTCAGCTGAATGTGTTTTGAGACTGACATTAGCCTACCTGAAATGGTGAGAATTTCCTGGGAATAAGCAGGAGATGGATTTAGGTAAGTCGATGGGAACCTCTTTATGGAATTTTTTGAAAACTACTGAATAATTTTGAGCTAATATAGTCTCTAAAGTTTAGATTTGAACCAAAGTTAAGTCCTGGAATGTCACAATAAACATTTAGATCTGAGAACGAGTGTATTAGTTCATTCAGGCTGCCTTAGTAAAACACCATATAATGAGCAATTTATATCTAATAAAATGCATTTCCCATAGTTTTGAAAGCTGGAAAGCCAAAGGTCATGGTGCCAGCAGGTTCAGTGTCTGGTTAGGACCTGTTCCATGGATGGCATCTTCTGGCAGCGTCTTCACATGACCAAAAAGGCAGATGGGTTACTAAAGTGCTCTTGAACCCCATTACTCCTTCAACAAATGTGTGTGTGTGTGTCTGTATATGTGGTATATGCATGATATGTTATGAACAAGCCCTTTGTAACTATAGTTCAAAAGAAACACAAATGATAGAGCCTCTTTTATAAGGGCACCGATCCTATTCACAAGGGAAGACCCTTCATGACCTAATTACCTCCTCAAGGTCCCACCTCTTAGTACTATTTCATTGGGGATTAAGTTTCAACATGAATTTGAGAGAACACATTCAGACCATAGCAAAAAGTGACCTTAGGACCATCTGAGTCTTATCTGTTATTTTATAAATAGGAAAACTGAGGCCTATAGACGAGCTCTAAATGAAAAATGCAAAACGTCTCAAGCTAAGATTGAACAGGAGACACCTGGGCCTTACGGGTGATGAAGTTTGGTACATTGTGGGGCTCAGTAAGAAATTAAATGCAAAGGCAGACTTAAAATTGTTAGTAGGATATACTGAACTAGGGTCCCTTTTAAAGAAACAGACAAAACCAGAGGTTATTTTCATATGCTTTACAGCATTCTGCTTTCTATGTGTGTGTGGGTTTGGCTCTATGCCCCACCCAAATCTCATCTCAAATTATAATCCCCATGTGTGAAGGGAGGGAAGTGATTGGATTGTGGGGGTGGTTTCCCCCATGTTGATCTCCTGATGGTGAGTGAGTTCTCACGAGATCTGATGGTTTTATAAGACTCTCTTCCTCGTTGCCTTCTCTCTCTCTCTCCTGCCACCTTGTGAAGAAGTTGTCTGCTTCCCCTTTGCTTTCTGCCATGATTGCAAGTTTCCTGAAGTCTCCCCAGCCATTCAGAATTGTGAGTCACACCTCTTTCCTTTATAAATTACCCAGTATTAGGTATTTCTTCACAGTAGTGTGAGAACAGACTAATACAGCATGTTTGTGTGTTTCCACCGTTTTAAAATTATTTGTTCTTAAAGTTAGTAAACTGCCTAAAAATGAGTTTGATAAAATAGCAATATATATAGACACATTCTCTGGATTAATTTTGGTGTGCATTTAATGAAGCAGCTGTGTTGTCTGGGGTATACACCCAGAGTTTGTCATCTCGTCCCAGGAAAATTTAGGACATGAACACACACGAGAGATATAGGAGTGGAAGTTTAATAGGAAGATGAGAAGAGAAAGAGAAACAGCTCTCTCTATGGAGAAAGACGGGTCTCTGAGCAGGAAAGACCGCTGGCGGCGGTTACGCTGGATTTTGTAGTACAGCTTGAGAAGGCAGTGTCTGATTTTCTAGGGCTCACAGTTCGGTTCAATCAGGTATGATGTTTAGATAGCATGCAGGAAATGCTGGTTGCCTCACCCTAATCTGATTATGCAAATGAACACTCCTTGGCTGGCGCCATCTTTTCTGGTCCTTCTTGTAAACGTGGCTGGAAGAGAAGGGAAGATGGAGCTGCCATCTTGAACATGTCTAGTCCCTAGTTCCTGCAGGCATTCACCCGTACCAGCTCCCAGCTTGCTTTTCTATGTCTGCAGCTCGACTTTACAGGCTGCCCTTTGTTAGAGAGGAAAATGATTTGGGGCTGCTTTTCATTAAAAGGAAAACCTTACCGAGGACTTCCGTACCTTCAGTATCTGACTAAGTAATTTCTTCTTAACTCCTGTATCACTAAGAAAAACATTGTGCCAGAATATGAGTGCATGTTGGGTTCGGGGAGGGGGAGTGACATTCTCCCTTTCACATGAAAATAGCCAACGTAGGTGGTGCAGACATTGGCAGATTCTACTATAGGGCCATTATTTCAAATTTAAGCTTTTTTCTGTCATGCTTTTTTCGTTAACACACTCAAAGGAGAAAATGGCAATCTCACTTAAGCATAGGAGAACTCCAAGGTGAGTGTTAAGTGTTCATATTGCCTTTGAGTCAGAGGGCTCCCTGCAAACGCATCTGAAACCCTAACTCCAAACTGAAACAGAGATTACCTTAGATACTCTACATAATTTGAGGCAGCCAAGCTGAAAGTGATTTGGAACTTTTTCTTATTTATAGGATTTGCCACTCACTAAACCAGCAATCATTAGAGACCACTCTGGAACCCATAGCTGAGCTGTGGAACACCATAATAAGTAGAGTGCTACTTTCTGCTTTTCATTTTCAGAAGCACTGTTAGAGCTAATCTTTAAGTAGAAAAACACATGATTTCAATTAGTTTCTAGGGGTTCGCAACATGGAAACTCATTTATTTGATACTTTAAAGTCTCAAATTGCTCTTATTCACCACAAATGTAGAAGCTAAAGAAACCAGCACCTTTGTCACTATGGTTTGTGTATCTTCTGAGATACGGTGGCAAAGAACTTGTTCATAATAAATACATGTTACACACACACAATTTGTTGAAGTGGTGATGAGGTTCCAGAGCATTTTAATGACCCTGACAATTTGCCTTCAGGCGTCTTGAGATACTTTTCCTTGGAGAATTATTTTTGATGTAGATTACTGGATGCAAAAAGCCTCCCAGTAATTCAATGATATTATTGCGGGAGGTGGGGAAAGACAAAAAGGAAAAAGAAGACAATAACACACACCTGAATCACATCCTTTTCCCCTTCCCAGCACCCTACCCCATTATCTAGAAGGGAAGGAAGATTTAGTGGGAAAGTTCTCAGTATGCTAGTACCAAGCAGTGACCTTTGTGATTGCAAGTGGCTCTCACCTGTCTGCCTGCCATTATGGTACCACAAAATTCAGGAACTCAATATTCTGGTGGAATGTCCCCAAAAATAGGTGGGGTGGGGTATTGAGCATTCCACAAGCTTTGTATTTTCTTCTGAATATTTCCTTATATGTATGGATTCTTCCATTTGTCCATTAGGTCTTTTCTACATCACTTTCTCAGTCTAGCTAACACATAATATCTGTATGTTGAATGAGCTGGCCACCTAGAATTAACTTGTAAGCATGATGTCATGAATCTCCATTACTCCCTTCTGGGGAAGAATCATTCTGATGATAATTTCTTGCCTGACCCTTAACACCTACCTTTCCTGAGCATTCCCAATAAATACTTAAACATCCCAGACTTAAACACCTCTCTAACCCATTATAGCCCTCCATGTTTTTGTTTGTTTTAAATCTTAGAAGGCAAAACTAGCCCTGACACTTATTTGTCCGATTATTCTCTTTATTTAATATTCTCCTTTGCATTACTTTGGAAAAAAACACTTTTTCTCTGATTACTGTCTCTTATCTATAAAGGAGGGAATTGAAATGGTTGTTTTCATAAGCTTCTGCATTTCTATCATTTCTATCAAATCATGGTGCTAGGAAAGTAAGGATGAAATGTGATATGCATTACTGGTGGGTGAACATCAAACCTAAACCCAAAAAATATCTCCGAAAAGTCAGTCTGAGGCTGGCAAAATTAGACATGTCCACATTTCCATAACCAAAAATCAAAATACAGAACTGCCAAGCCTATTCCCTTCTCTGCTAATTTGTAGCATTTCCTTAATACAAAGCGGAGTGAGCCCCAGTTGTCTATTTGGCCTTTGATGTATAGCTACATAGAAGATGTCTCTCTAGCAAGTACACAGTCACTAAATATAAAGTTCTTTGGATCACTGAGATGACACAGATAATTAATTCAGAAAGAGCCTCTTGAGAAACCTGTGCATGAAGTAGAAGAACTTCTGTGATGTGCTTCAGAGAACTCTCGTTGTCAAAGTGAAAAGCAGTAGAATCACAGGAATTTTTCAAAACTGCGATTTGGTAAGAGACTGAGTCTACATGGTATTCATTGGCCTGTGACACTGTACCATTAATAATTATCAAACGTGGCCAGGTGCGGTGGCTCATTCCTGTAATCCTTGCACTTTGGGAGGCCAAGGCAGGTGGATCAGTTGAGGTCAGGAGTTTGAAACCAACCTGCCCAACGTCCTGAAACCACGTCTGTACTAAAGATACCAAAAAACAATTAGCCGGGCTTATTGGCAGGTGCCTGTAATCCCAGCTACTTTGGAGGCTGAGACAGGATAATTGCTTCAACCTGGGAGGCAGAGGTTGCAGTGAGCTGAGATCGCGCCATTGCACTCCAGCCTGGGCAACAAGAGTGAAAACCCATCTCAATCAATTAATATCAAACGTTTACACCATGAACAGCCCATAGACACTAGAAGACCGAATATAGTTTGTCAACTTTACTTTCTCTCAGATCACTAGGGTTGAAGCCTGGGAGCCATCTCCACTTCTTTTCCTCTCCTCACCATTTCAAGCAATCAGCTGCAAAGCCCCAAACATTTTATCACACAGATTCACACTCTTGTGACAGCCCCACTCCTGGGGCTTCCGTTTAGGTACCATCAAGTGTTACTTGAATTGTTGAGCAATTATTACATTGAATGTTCTTCCTTTCCTTCTGTCTTAGCCTTTCTAACCTGCCATATGATGCTATAATTATGTCTCTAAAATTATATCTCTGATGTCACCCCCTGCCTTATAATTTCCCATGGATATTTATGGTTCTTGCTTGGGTCTGTTAAACAGTCCTTTCCAGTTTCATCTTCTCCCATCTAACAATCTCCATATCACTGCCCTTCCTCTAACCAAATATTTGAGAAACATACTCTTCATGATAAATACCATACATTTCCAAATCTTTTTTTAACCTCAGTATGTTCTGTCACACAACTATATAATATTATTTAATGCTTGGTAAATCTTTACATTTAAATCTCTGTCTGGTCTGTGAAAAATATGTACTAGGTCTTCAGAAACGATTTGGTGTCCTTTCTCTGTAATGTAAGAGTAACCTGTTGATCCATCTGTTACTATTCATAATTCTGTCTACTATGATGAACCTTGAGGGGGAACCCAGCCTAATTCAACTTACAACTCCAGGGCCTGGGCTGTGCCAAGAATATTTCAAGCACTAAATAAATACTATAGAAAGAAAGAAGAAGAGTGGGAAGAAGTAGAAAAGAACATTTCCAAGAGTGAGAAGAATCCATATGGTGGAGCTTAATGTAGGCAAGAGTAATGTCCTGAGTTAGTTCTGTGTTGCCTTTGCTGGACAGTGTTCAAGAGCATTGCCAGAAGTTACCTGTGGCCTATATTTATGTTCACCAGAGGATCAGTTTCTCAGAATGCTCTCTAAGCAGCTGGCAATTTTCTTTTCCAAAGTTGGTTTAAACTTCTTTCTTCTCAACCATGCACAAACATAGCCAACTCATAAGGCACAATGTGGCAGGTACTGTCAATTGCGTCAGACAAAGCCACTGTGTGAACAAATATAGATGCAGAGGCAGAAACCTTGGACTGGGGAGATACAGTGGAATATCACAGCTACAATCAGTATTTTGCAGAAAGCATTGGAAATAATGTTTTGTAGAAATTAATTCATGAAAACTCAATAATCAAAAAGTATTCTTGTCCCAAAGGAAGATACGAATGTAATTTAGAAACAAACCTTCTTTAGCAAACAGTAGACGTCCTGACCCTAGCTAGACATCATGGTACATGCACAAGAGGACAAATACTGAACAACATTCTTAGCTTAATTAGCTAATAGCAATCTTCAGATCCTTATACTGAATAAGTGGGGGCAAAGATCCAATTTTACTTTATCCACTACACAAAATTGCATATTTTCTGTAGAGTGAGGTGTAGTTAGTTGTATACATCAGTTGTTCTCAACTGGAGGTGATTTGGCAACAACCCTAGGCAACATTTGACAATGTCTGAAGATATTTTTGGTTGTCACAGCTGAGGTTGGGAGGAATGGTGATATTACTGTTATCTAGTGGGTAGAAGCCAGGGATACTGCTAACCATCTCATAGTGCACAGGTCCACCCTATAACAAAGGAGCATCTGGCCTAGAATAAGTTTGAGAACAGTGCTAAGTTTCCCAACAGTGCTAAGTTTGAGAAACCCTTTTATAAATTGTTGAGTTGGACAATCTCAGCAATTCCTTTATCGATTTGAATAAAAGTCAGTTGAAAGAAACATCCATGAGAACAAAGTCTAAACAAGGCAGATACCCAGACCTAGTGATATTATCTGACTAGTGGCTCTTTGATCATGGTGCTCAAAGAGAGGTAAGTTCCCAACTCTTCCCTCCCTATCTCTTACACCTTTGCAATTTGATCAGTATTTCCACTCACATGTGGATGGGCTGCATTTTATATAAGCAAGCAAACAGATCAGAGCATTAGCAAAGATGGGATAATTCATGACCAGGAGGCAGAATCCCATTTGTGGTGCATCTTAGCAGGAAGGGGCAACCTACCTAAGACAAAAGAATTCTCTAAGGTGAGATTCCATTCCCTGTATTCTTCAGGATTCTAGAATCCAAGCTTGAAGGAGCACTGGATTGAGAGTCAGAGGACTTGAATTTATAAGTGGTCCTGGATTTGCTTCTCTGTGCCTAAGTTTTTATATCTTCAAAATGGGTGATCCAGAATGTTTAGACATGTCCCCACCTAAACACAGAATAATTTCTAAAGGTGTAATTTCACATGGAAACTAAAAATGTCATCCAGCTAAAAGTGGTGTTTCTCTGGTTAAAATAATTGGCTATTTCATGGGCTTTTCCTACTCAGTCACCTGCCCTGAAGGTTTGAGATATCCCTACAGATCAGAAAGGGGCAAACACCACTGGAACACAAATGTGGCTATTCTCCCCCTCTCTTTCTAGTGCATTAGAACATTATTCTGAAGATTATCAAATATTAGTGTCCTCTTTTAAACTATGTGCAAAATGCTTTTAGGGGTGCAGAAATTATACACAAAGAGTGATTCTTCAACTGTAATGACAATATTTATCACCTGGGAAATTTGGTAAAAATGCAAATCCACTGGTCAGACTTCTAGAGATTCAGATATGTGAGCTGTAGGGAGCAAATGTTGGCTAGGTCACCATCATCTACTTCCTGCTTTTACCAACAACACCTATATTTTCTTTTAAGGGGCCACCCATACCTTCAGTCCTATAGCTTGTCTGAAATTGATCTCATACTTACTTCTCCACGGGTCCATGAATGGATACATCCCTAATTTGGAACAATGCTGGCTAATGCTGCTGGAAAATAGCTTGCTTTTTTCATGAGTGACCTCTTCCTGTCCCTTGAATGGTACGCAGTTACCTATATGAGGTCTGCAACTCTTTCATCAATGACTGGCACACGTGAGGAGTTCACCTAAGATAAAACCATGCACAGAGCTTCCCATGTATATTTGAAATAGAAAATAATATATGGTATATTTTCATGTTGAGCATTTTAAAAATGTGTGTATTTTGCAATGAGAGGTATACTCACATTCCCTTAATTTATTCAAAAGTAGATCTTATACTGCTAGCATTTGATATTGGAGTAGATAGAGGAAAAATACATATGTGCTGTGATTAAAACCCTCAAAATAGTTTATATTATGTTAGTGCTTGACACTATGCTTATGCTAAAAAAAAATGTTGGTGCCTATCAAGCATGTTTTATTTTTTAACACATTATTTTATATGTCAAAGTAGGATTTTGAACTACTGTTCATTACCAAGATTGCGTCCTTGAGTGCAGTTCCACCTTATATCTCATTCTGAAGAATTTTAAAGCTTAAATAAGATTCTGGATTCAGAGGTCAACCATTCTATTTAAAATGTAAAAGCACAAAATAATCTCCTTTGCACATCATCCAATACTATTAAACTGACATAAGTACAAGTTTAAAACATGTTTTGTTACTGTTAGGAAAATATTGCAGTAAACTAAGAGAATCTAGTTCAAATATGTTATCAAATTTGTGACAAAATGTATATTTTGACTTCATTTCAACGAATTCTGCAGAATCAACCAGATATCTCTCAGATCTAATTTTAACTATAAAACCTGAACATTGCCAGATATTCCTTAGGAATTTGTCCGAAAATAGGTTCATTAATATTTCTATTCTGTGCTAAGGACTGTGAAGATAAGTTTGAAAACTTGATGTCATTTTACCACAGGCATACTATGAAATGCAGATATCTCTCATATCACTGAAGATGTACTATACTTTAGAAAAACAATAAATATGTATACATGAAATGAGCACTACAGTTAATAAGACTTATCATTTGTTGATTGTTTGATGTATGCAAGTCACTACTAAGATATATATCCAGCCACTATCTATAATGACCACTGCTTACAATTATGTTTATGAGACACAATTGATGCCAAGTTTTTAAGGACGAGGTTATAAACAAACTTTTTTCACATGCTATGTAATTCAAGAACAGCTTTACTGGGAAAGACATGGCCTACAAGGGTCTTAAGGAGGGTTGAATAATCTCTCATACATATATGGTTTTTGTGTGTGTGTGAGTGGTTTTTTTTTTTTTTTTTTGCTTGTCAAGTCTCTACAAAATCATTGCCAGGGCTCAGTGAATTGGGGATTATTTTCACGGCCCCTAAGACTAGGTCTTACACCTTACCCTCCTTGCCAAGATTTCCCAGAGATGTTCCTGAATATTCATTCCATCAAACAATGGCTCCTAATTTCTTTTACCCATGCAAGCCCGGCAATGCAGCAAAAAGCTATTCTTCACTGTCACACACATCATATAGACGAGGCTCTGCTGGCAGTTCAAGATAAGTAATATCTGCTGGAAGAGAGTCAAAGATGTAAATCCTTCCTCTGCCTTATGTACTGCAGACTTGTTTAGTAAAAGACTGTCTGGATGCTGGAGAAGTTGATCTCCTCCAAATGGCTTACAAACTTCAAAATCACAGTGGTGTTGAGGAAGGGAAAGAGAGGACAGGGGTATGAGGGGAAACACAGTGGGGCAGAGGGAAGGTCACAATGACTGTCGTGCTTGGGAGGAAATGTGAAGTAGTGGGTCTGGCAGCAAACTTAGAGTCAGAGGTTACAGTTCTTTTTGATGCTTCTATCTGGATATAGAACTTTGGATAAATCACTGAACTCTCTAGTCCTTGGTGTCCTCATTTGTAAGGTAGGAATCGCTACCTATGATACTTACTTCAGCAGGGTGGGCGTTGTGAGGGTACCGTGATTTTATTGGTGATAGTTTACACTGCTGCAGCTCTGCCTCTGTACACAATCCCTCTGCAAATGACTCATGTCTTCTCCTTTCATATGACGATATAAATAGCTGGTAACTCTCGCAGAGACCCCTCTAACAGTGTAAAAAGGCAAACTCTAAGAAGAGTAGTGTTGGCAATTAGTTTTTGGAAACTAAACTAATGGGAAAATTAGTTTTATTATCTCTACCCAGGAGTTGGGAGCAGGTAGCAGCCAGGATGGTGAATGGTAAAATATGCAGACTCTGTAATCAGATAGACTTTGGTTTGACATCTAACAAGCTACTCACCTTGTTAAACTTCCTTGTGATTCGTCTGCAGAATAAGAGTGATAGCGACTACCTCTTCAGGTTGTTGTGAGTATTAAAT
This sequence comes from Homo sapiens, assembly GCF_000001405.40. Taxonomy (NCBI): domain Eukaryota; kingdom Metazoa; phylum Chordata; class Mammalia; order Primates; family Hominidae; genus Homo; species Homo sapiens. Next base: position 64,217,183 of record NC_000016.10, on the reverse strand, counting down.
GAGGTTATGTTTTGCCCCCATTCTGGCATAGAAATGCTCTCAAATGTTTGTTGTTGTTAATCTTCTGTTATTTTGTTTTCTTTTTCTGTTAGTGCCTGGAGTATCATGCATTAGCTTTTACTGAATAAATAAGTCTGTGCAGCATTTATTCAGTCTAGCACTTATTGAGAGTTGTCCACATGAAAAGCAGCCCCATAGCATGTCAGCATCTACAATTTTGGATCCCTGTCTCAGGAACTTTTCATTGGGTGCTCATCTCTGAAAGCCCTTTTGTTTTTTCTTTTCACGGTGTTCTAATTCATATGTGCTATGTCTCTCAAGTGAGAGTCACATGAGTATTTTATGCCTTCGTTTCAACTATTCTGGAGGATAATGACATGTTAGTTTGAAGGATCTTACTCGTATTTACCCAGATCTTATAAAATACAGTATTATATATACCACCTAGTCTATGTTTTAAACCAGACTATCAACCACAAATATACCCTTAAAATGTGGTGATGTATTATGGACAAAGACGTAGAAACACATGCTTACTTATTTATAAGAGGGTTCTACAGATTGGAGAAAATTCCTTTTATACTCCATGAGTGTGGACCCTCCCTCTCTGAGGTCCATGGAGCTGAAGGCTCATAGTACTGCTTTGGAAGAAGCTGAGGAGCTCTGGCATGGCTCATATTGCTTACTTGCTGACTTCTCTCTGTTCCTGCTTTCATTCAATCTTTATTGCATGCAAGACCACCCCAGAAGGGCAAAATTGGTTCTCAGGGTCAAAGCATCTCAGAGATTAGAATGACTTATGACCCTCCATAGGGCCATAGTACATAAACAGGTATGTGTAGCATTACAATTTCATGGGAAGGGATTTTGATTAGGGAAAGACAATATCTAAAAAGGCTCCATAAAGATTTAATAAAAATAAGATTGAAAACCACTGCTGTAAGTCTATTGAGGTTCCCAAATGACTCACCTGTATTCTCCTGCCTAAGCACAAGGTTTGGAAACAACTGAGAGAAAGACCAATGTGAACCTCTTATGAACTGAATTCTGTCCCCGTGAAATTCATATGTTAAAGCCCTCTCAGTGCTTTAAAATGTGACTGTATTTGGAAAAAAGAGCCTGTAAAGAGGTAATTAAGGCCAAATAAGGTTATAAGAGTAAAGACCTGATTCAGGATGGCTGGTATTTTTGTAAGAAGAGGAAGAGACACCAAGGATATACATGCGCACAGAAAAGGCCATGTGAGGACACAATGAGAAGGGTGCCATCTGCGATCCAGGGAGTGAGGCCCCAGGAGAAAGCAAACCTGCCTTGTACCTTGATCTTGAACTTCTGGCCTCCAGAATATGAGAAAATAAGTTTCTGTTGTTTAAAGCACCCTGTCCATGATATTTTATTAAGGTAGTTCTAACACAGTAATATAGAACCAAAAAATCAGTTTCATATCATAAAACTCACAGTATTACACACTGTCAGAATGCGGACTTTCTAATATTGATACCCAGAAGTAGTCAGACTTACCCAGTCAGTAAGAGTAAGTGCTGTTAAACTGCAAACCTCCCCATGTGAGGGCCTGAGCCCATAGAGATTTTGCAGGGCACAGAAAAACCAAAGACATTCTATGTTAGCAGGGCTGAGAGTAGCTCTCAGGGGACAGGTAGCAAAAGTGACTAGGCGATGTATGCCCCATAGTTCTCCATCTAAACCCATCAATCAAACTAAGTAACTCCTCCACTCCTGGGAAGCATTGAATGAGGAAGAGAAAGAGGTCAGAAATGTGAAATTACTGGAGCTCCCTCCTCAAGGAGGAAACATCTGGAGAGGGACCACTTTTACCACCAATCTTGTACAGATCACAGAGACAGTTTGTTAGAATTCTCTAAATCTATCTGAAATGATTAAGCACAAGCACTGGAATACCAAGAGGAATTGGCCCTTTTGCTATTTTGTCTTTTTGATTCATAATAACCAGCCAAATAGCAGACTAGTTCATAAACTAGAAATCAGCTAATTTAAAATTTTAAACCTAAGAATGAGTGAGTTAAATAATAGCTAAGATATATTGCTCATGTGCTATAAGTCAGATACTATTTTAACTACTATGCATATGCATTCTCTACTGTAATTCACATGATGGCAAGTATTATTCTTCCTATTTTTGACATGAGGAAACAGACTCAGATTGATTTAACTTTCTTATGCTCATTCAACTAGTACATAAGGAAGCCTGAATGAAGAAGCCTAGAAGCAGAGAAATAAAGTGAGATGTTCTGTCTCCCACATTTTTGAGTGGCGGTAGTTTGACTTATGCCTGGATGCATTTCTCTAGTGTCTGTGGTTGGAATATAATAGTTCTCATCAAAGTAAACCAGGATACCAGAAGCTAGAGAATAAAGAAGAGTAAAATAATAATTTAAAAAATTTGGGGGGAAAATCTATAAAATGACCACATTGAAGAGATGAGAGGTAAATATCAACATAGGAATGTAGAGACAACAGAGGAATGTTGAGCTCAGAAGGTAAGAAATTTTTGTATGATGGCAAGAGTGGAGAGCTCATCAGTGGTGATTTCTTAGATTTGGGGTTAATGATCGTATTTTATTGACTTTTAAGGGTGAAAGGTGAAGGAGTCTGAGCAGATTCCGAGGTTCAATAGAAGTGGAAGGAACCAGTAGAAACCTAAAATCACAGCAAAAGCAACAGTGTAGGAAATTCTACTGGGAATCATAGTACTGCTCCAACAAAGGAGAGTCTTCAACTTACCCAGTGTAGCTTCATAACACCTGACAATTTAACCTGCAAAAATGAATATGCCAATTTTCATAGTAACTTACGTTTGCAAGTTACTTTGTTTTTATCTTCAAAACCATCCTATGAATTGCAAGAATAATTATTATTAATCTGATTTTACAAGAGAAGAAACTGAGAAATGACTCATCTGATGTTACACAGCAAATGAGTGAAGCCAAGTCTCTGACTGACTTATTTATTTATTTATTTATTTATTTATTTATTTGAGACAGGGTCTCACTCTGTCATCCAGGCTGGAGTGCAGTACTGAGATCTCAGCTCACTGCAATCTCCATCTCCTGGGTTCAGGCAATCCTTGTGCCTCAACCTCCCGGGTAGCTGGTACTACAGGATCGTGCATACCACCACACCTGGCTAATTTTTTGTATTTTTAGTAGAGATGGGGTTTCATCATGTTGGCCATGCTGGTCTCCAACTCCTGACCTCAAGTGCTCCACTCACCTTGGCCTCCCAAAGTGCTGGGATTACAGGCATGAGCCACTGCGCCCAGCCTGACCTGAGAAATTTTTTACAAAATCATCGAGACGGTCATATGTGTTAAGAACTTGCCAACCATTGCTGTAATTCATTTCCTTATAGCATACTGGGGTCTAAGGTCTTCTATATGTTATATACTTAAGTGATTAGGATAATACCACATTTTGTAAAGAAGCAAATTTTTGCAAGGTCTCTGCTTTTTACCTGACTCGTTTTTTCTCTCCAAGAAAACATGTTACTAACTTCTAGGATGTTAGTTGAAGGAGAAAAAGATAATGGACTTAAATTTCTCTTTCCTAAAAGAAGAACAACATATATGTAAGGAGTGAATGGTAGCATAGAAGGCTACAACAATGACTTTGAAGCTGGATCATGCCATTTTGAATAGATAATCCCAAAAAAAAATTAGACCAGCAGCTGAAAGCATTTCAAGGAAGAGTGTCACATATTCTGTGACCCAAGATTCCACTCTCTCATAGGATATACAAGTGGAACAAGCACCTGGCCCTCAAGCAGGTTCATGATGCAGTGATATTTTTGCAGACACCTGGGCCATGCTTCAGCTATAATGCACCATTTCCAGATGTTTGAAGAATACCATTGGCAGCATCCTTTGAGAGTCTATTTCAGGAGAACATAGCTGGCACTTTCTTGATTCTGCTGTTCCTGCACTTTCTTGATTCTGCTCTTCCTGCACTTTCTTTAATGGGGAAGCAAGAATGCCACCCACACCATAGAAGACTGTTGTAATGTCAATATGTTGCTTTTGAACTTTAAACCTTCACAAATGTTCTCCATTATGTCTTTGCAATGATGCTTATGTCTCAGAGCTGCATAGGGACCAAGAACAAAAAGGCATAGACTACTTCTTAAAAAAATTATTCCCATAACCTTAATCTAGCTAATTTTTCTTACCACCCCCAATAGCAGGAGTTAGGGGGGAGTTGATGGTGGATGGGGAGGAAGAGAGATAAAGAAAATGAAAGCCTATGTAAAAATGCTAATATATCATTAAGGTTCACAGAGGGATGATGAATAAATATGGGTACTTCATTAGGAATCCTGAGGAAGAGAATATCTAGAAAACATCTTTGTGGTTGGCTTTTTTTTTTTTTTTTTGAGAAGGAGTCTTGCTCTATTGCCAGGCTAGAGTGCAACCTCCGCCTCCCAGGTTCAAGCGATTCCCCTGCCTCAGCCTCCTGAGTAGCTGGGACTACAGGCGTGCACCACCACACCCAGCTACTTTTTTGTATTTTAGTAGAGATGGGGTTTCACCATGTTGGCCAGGATGGTCTCGATCTTCTGACCTTGTTATCTGTCTGCCTCGGTCTCCCAAAGTGCTGGGATTACAGACATGAGCCCCTGTGATCGGCTGTGAGTGGCTTTTTATCTCATCAATTACATATAGATTGGCATGCTGCATTGACTGTTGGCCTGGATTTCCATCTATAGGAACTCTCCCCAACCAGAGAGTCCTGCCTTCCCCTTCCCTTGGCCTGTTCATTAGCTATCATCTTCCACAATGATTACTAATAAATCACTAGACTTTTCTGGATTCTTTACCTTCAACAGAGATTTAATTTGTCATTGTAGTTATTTTGTTGCCACTTCTTTTCTGCCCCAATGGTATTTTGCTACTACTTACCTACTATTTTGGGTTATACAATCTCTTTCACTGTTTTAGGAAGTTCACAGATATTTTCTGTAAATATAAATGAATGCATATATTTTCCATCTATAATATCTGATAGATTCAAGTTCCACCTCCCCAAAATACAATGTTTTCCAGAACTTGTTAAATAAGTAGCAGAGAACTAAAATATTATTTATAAAAAGAGATTGAAATTTCTTCCCCACAAGCCCTCTTTCTCTCATCAGTCAACCCAGGAAAAGAGACGATCTATATTTTCCTGACTAATATAAAATTCTTAGACTTTCCCAATAAAGACTTTTTTCAAACAATTTGAGGAGGGAACAGATTCATTTTCAATACACTTCTGCTGTCATTCTGTTTTCTCGTTTATATGAGTAACTTAGTCTTTTATTTTCCTTCCTCCTCTTCAGTTAAATTTCCTTAGGATGTAATAACCTTTTCTCTCCTCACTACCCCACCAATCCATACCAAATACTCTCTGCACAGGGCTGTTCATTTTCAGTGTCCCTCTGAAAGCTTAAATGTCGCATTTGCATTTCACTCAATGTTTAAAATACAAGGAGCTGGAAATGAAATAGAACCATAGGAAAAGGCCTTTCAGTGAATGGAAAATGTAATAAATCCAGTGTTCTGACCCCAATTACGGGTGTTCAGCCTCGCCAGGCCCCTTTCATTTGTCCTGCTCACCAGCAAGTGCTGAAAAGATCCCCACACCAGACCTCACACTCTGGTCCCTCTGTTCCCGTCGGAGTGTCTGAATGTGGAGTGATCACAGTGTTAACACATTTGCTTTCAGTTTCTTTGTCTTCCCTCAGATGAGGCCTTGTAGAAAAACAAAACCTAAATCTTTCAGTGACTATACTAGACTTTAAAACTGTAAGGATAATAAAGACTTCAGTGTGTTTTGATAGACTGAGAACCATGTCTACCAGTTTTCAAAAGCATATGTGTTGCCGATGAATAATGTAGCAGTTTTTCTTCCTCCTTGATGGAATTAGCTAGGTTATTTGTCATTGAAAATAACAGGCAGTGAGAATAAAGCAAATTGCTCTATGGAAGAGTCTTTACAAATAATGTCTTTGGAGACGGATACACCTAGGTACAAATATTGTCTCTATCACTTGGGGAGAGGATAACTTTGGGATATAGCTTTTTTGGGCCTCAATTTTTTTGTCTGTAAAATGGGAACAGTAACATCTTCCTCTAACTTTGTTGAAATAATTAAGTGATAGAATATATGTAAATTTTCCTTAAACTTAGTTGGGTAATTACTATACATTCAATCCATTGTTATTGCTGTTATTGTAAGCAATATTATTTACTAATATCATTCTGCTAATGCCTTTTTCTCTCCATTGACCTTCTGCCTCTATTGTGAGAGACGTTTAAATGGATATCCTATTCCTCGGAAATGCCAAGTTTGCTAGAACATGTGTACTCTTATGTGCACTCTTAAGTTCAACAAAACTTCAGGGAGTATAGTTAATTCATTATTCTGGAAGTATTAATTGGAAGCCTATTCTATGCCTCATATTTTTCTACATAATGAGCATTCAGTAATGAACAAGGTATATGAATTTTCTAGCACTTATATTTTAGTGGAAGAAGACAAGGAATAATTATTGACCAAATGATCAAAAGAAGTAGTTTTCTACAGTAGAATGTATTATAAAACAAAGTAAAACAGAAGCATGCAACTGGAGTTGGGGGAGTGCAGAATCATTTGGAATTTTTAGTCATGGACAGAAGCAGCCCATGCTAGAGATGATTTTAAGTTTATTTCTGAATTTCAGGTATGATCTAGTCATAAGAAGCATTGGTTTGGGAGCAAAGGTCATTCCAGACAGAGGGAATAGGCAGAGGAAGCTCCTGAGATGACTTTGGACAGAAGGCCAAAGAATCTGAGGCTACTAACTCAGAGAAAGGGGTCTTTAGAGGTGAAGAGGAGGAGTAGACAGAGCAATATTGTGTCAGCCTTGATAGACCACAAGAAGGGATTTGTATTCTGTAATACTTGGAAAAGGTGGAGGGGGTGCCAACATGAGATGATTAAGTTGACTCTTGCTGCCATCCACTTGTGAGGGAATAATGCCTTGGACCAAATGGTATCCAGGAACATAGATGGGGAATAGTTTCATAATATATTTTGGAGCAAGAACTAATAGGCTTTATTGCATTGATGTGAGGAATGAGTGAAAGAGAGGAAAAATGAATTGATCCTAAATTATTTCTAATCATAGAATTAAGATGAGAAATTTTTAGAAAAATAATAAATCTCAATAACTATAAAGTTATATCTGGGTATGAAATCAGAAGTTTGGGACTTGAATACCAACTATACAACTTACTATGTGGCCATAGCCAAACAATATAATGTCTCAACTTTCATCTTCTACAAAATGGGGATAAGAAAACTGCATTTACCCGAAGGAGGTTTTTCGAGCAAAATAAAGTTGTTGTAATTTTATGAAATTATTTTTGCTGAGTGTTTAATATGGACAATACACTACGCTGAGCACTTTTACTACTTAATTCTTAAAAGAGCAATATAAGGTAAAACATATTACTAGTCCTATTTTACAGATGCTAAAATGTAGGCATAGAGAGTGAAACTATATATTTGGTCAAATAGTTAGATATAGATTTAGTTTCCATGCATTTTTGAATCCAGAGTCTATGACATCACCCATAACCTACAACACTTCTTTAGTCCTATAAAGGTTGCAGAAGTGTATAGATAAAAATCATCTTTAATATTGTTAATAGGAATAATAGAAAAAAAGTAAATAGAAAAAAATTTCAAAAATCGTAAGAGAAAGGATATATGAGTACAAGTTCAAAGTACAACTTTGGCTAAAAATGGTTACTATGTAATGGGAAAGCGACCTGGAATGAAATTATCTGATACATTATCTTAATCCTTTCAATAAGAAAGAAAAGATATAGTGTGACATCAGTGACAGTATCTGATATTATTTGCTATCTATTATAGCACCTAGTAATAAGTCCTTAAATTGGTGTTTAATAAACTTATAGAATACATAAATCTTTTGGATGATAGGTTTTTCCATAGTATTAATTTCTGAAGGATGAAGCTTTTTTTTTTTTTTCTTATTTTGCCTTCCCTCACAGTGTTTGGAATCGTAGAGATTCATTGAATTTATTATTTATCAAATACGCTCTTGCTGCTAGACACCAATGAGAAGGAACACAAATGCAGATGGCTCAAAAGTGCAAATTGAGTCAATGACTCTTTTTGTCATTATCTTGAGGCAAAGCAATAATCAAATGGTTGGAAACTTGAGTCAGAATCTTATCTGATAAAGAACTTACTCTCTTGTTTTTGTTGTTGGTTTAATTTCCTAATTGGTTAAACTTTTGTTTAAAAACCTGGGATCCCAGAGCACAGGGAAGCTTAAAGCCTTCACAATTTATATAATGGATTTTACCTATAGCCATGTTTTGTGTTCTGTCATATTGCTGAGTTTTGATATGGTATATACCCAAGAGATACCAAGATATTTCACTGGAGAGTTGGGAAATAAAGTCCAGCCACTCTCCTTTTTGCCTCCCTTCTCCCTGATTAGGTCACATTTGCCTGGTATATGACCTTGTTATATATTTTATCTGCATTAGTACTTTTCACTATGTGTATCCTTCTTATTTACTTACTTAGCTATTCAACCCTAACACCTGTCTCCATCCTGTACTTTATATATTCTAGGAGTTCAGGAAGTATAGTATGCTTAACTACAAATTAGCCTTGTCTGGAATAGAGTCTGACATAACATGTGCTTGTTAAATAAAGGAGAGATGCCCATGGCACTGGGCCTTTACTCCCATTTTCCTGCCAGAGAAGAATCTAATTCTTAAACAACAAAAATAACAGGGTGTAAGTTGCTATGTTAGAGGAGATATCAGCTATCTGCTGCTCTACAGCAAATTACCCCCAAATCTAGTGCTTTAGGATAACAACAATCATGGTAGCATCTTTCACATTTTCTGCAGGTCAGGAATTTGAGAAAGTTCAGGCTGGTGATTCCAGTTGTGGGCTACAGTGAGATAGGGGCTGAAGGTAGAACAGCAAGGGACTGGGACAGGTTGGGGCTGGCTATTCCCCCTCTCTTCGTGTTGTCTTGGATATTCTCCATGTAATATCTCAGCATTAACTAGTTTAGGCTTCTTCACAGGATCATGGCTTCAGTGCAGTCAGACTTATTCCATGGTGGCTCAGTTCTCTAGTCCGAGTCTTCTAGAAAATCAGTCGGAAGCTATAGCACCTTTATGACCTATACTTGCAAGTCGTGTCATGTTGCTGTGGCCATAGTCAGCTAGTAGACTATTTACTAAGGTCAGTCAGAATCAAACAGAAGGCTTATGACCCTCAACTTTTAATGGGAGGAGTGTCAAAGAGTTTATGAATATGTTTGAAAGTTACCACCATGGGTTATACAAAGTATCAATTTCTCTGTCCTGTGCTTTTCTGAAATTTTCTTTTTTTTTTTGAGATGGAGTCTTGCTCTGTCGCCCAGGCTGGAGTGCAGTGGCACAATCTCTGCTCACTGCAACCTCCACCTCCCCGGTTCAAGCAATTCCCCTGCCTCAGCCTCCTGAGTAGCTGGGATTACAGGCACACACCACCACGCCTGATTAATTTTTTTTTTTTTTTTTTGGTATTTTTAGTAGAGATGGGGTTTCATCATATTGGCCAGACTGGTCTCAAACTCCTGACCTCAGGCAATCTGCCCACTTCGGCCTCCCAAAGTGCTGGGATTACAGGCATAAGCCATCATGCCCGGCCTCTGAAATTCTTATGACTACCTTTCTTTTATTTCCCCATTTAACTCTTTATCCTACTTCAGGAGACAAAAATATGTATGCTGATAGGGCAAATACCATTCGTCAAACAAAAATTATCTACTCGTGTAGTAGATAGGGGGCCAATTTCTATGGGACTCTTTATGAAGAGTAGATAAAATTTGGAAATGTGCTTGATGACTTACTTCCTTTCTACTTCCTTCCCCCACAAACCCTTAGGCTGCAGCTCTGTTAAGCTGGGTTATTTCAGAGGAAAATGCAAATGATCAGAGTTGTATGAGCTGGTAAAAGGGGAAAGCCTCTGTGGGGATCCCATGGTGAGTGGGAGAAGACAGATGTGTTAGCAGCTGTTCAGCTAGATAATGAGTCAGCCCCCAGTGCACATGGGTAATCGACAAGGCGGCTAATCCATTCACAGACAATCAAGAATTGACCATATGCCACAGCTGGACTATGTGTGGAGGCAGCTCATAAGGAAAGAGGAAGAACAGGAATTTGACTATTATCTTAAAAAAATACTCATGATACAGATAATAATAATGGCCCATTAGCATAAGTAACATTTGTGTTTTCCAAAGCATTATCACAAGCTCCTTTTTAATCTGCTTTCTTGTATAACAGGAAAGATAGTTTTCTTTCCATTTTTTTTTCAAGATGGAAATACTTAGAGAAGGAAGAAGAGAAAAGACTAACATTTACTACTACGCATTTAGTGTTTAGACTAAAGATGTGCCCAGAACTATAGAAATAATTGTCATTTCACGTAGCAATACAATTCTTATGCAGTGATATTAATTACCTACTGCAAATCTAACAAAACATACCTTTCAGTTGCAAGTATGTTTTTTATTACTCAGTGCATCTGCAAATCACAAAAATATATGTTAAACTCACAGAATCATTGTCCTCACTCTTCCTCAGGAATGAGTTTTGTGATTATCTCATGTATTTGCATATTAAAGTTACAATTTCCTCAATATCATCAAGCATGCTTGTGAAAATTCCGATTCCCAGAATCCTTAAATATTCTAATATAATTAATTTTGAGAAGGACCAGATATCTTCAAATTTAAACAGACACTCTGTCTCTGGGACTCTGAGAAACATTTTTCTGTTGCAGTGGTTCTCAACCTGGGGTAATTTTGCTGGCCCCCACCACCACTCCGACCCCCCCACCCCCACCCCCTCCACCACTCCGCCCCCCACCACTCCCACCCCCCACCCTGCCCACTTCACCCCACCCCACCCCCCCAACCCTGCAGCTGACATTTGACAATCTCTGGGTATCTTTTTGTTTGTCACAACTTAGGGTTAGATGCAACTTGTATCTAGGGGTAGAGGACAGCAGTGCTGGTAAACATCCCACCACGTATAGGAGAGCCTCCCAAAGTGGGCCACATCTCACCTGGAGTGTGAATAGTGCTAGGGTTGAGTATATGTGTATTTTACAGGGACTAAAAAAATTAGTCACGTAGAAATAGTGGTTTAATTACTACTCCATGAAATATAGACATAAATACCACATTTATATCATATATCATACATTAATTAATATTGTTTTTAAAATAATATGTATCAAGAAAAACATTTACTTATGTGCAAATAACATCTCTTTTTATATTAAACAATATAAACTTACTTAACTTTCTTTCTTTCCTGAAAAATATATTAAAAATTTTAGCTGCATCTCGAAGTGCTTCATTTTGGTAAATTTCAGCTACAGGACAGGAAACTAAAGATGTTGCTTATATTAGAAATGATTTTGAATTTCCTGAGTAAGATAGCATAACCATTCCCAAAGTCAGTCCCTCAATCCATAGATACATATTGAGTTAAACAGGTAAATTTAGAAGTTGTGAAATATGTCTTTAAAATATTTTTTAAAATCATATATTTGGAAAAGTTTAGTCTAAAGTGTACCCATATGTGTGTGACTGATTATTGCCTTTTAAACTGTACTACTTGGGGCTGTCACCTACTATACCTAAAATATTCTGAATATTCTGAAATTTACCCATTTATTTTCATTTGTAGTAGAAAGGTAGAGACTGGAAAAAGGAGGAAGACTGAGACATCCTATGAGTCCAGTTAAACATTTCTTATTTAGAGGAGGAAGATTAAAAAGAGGTGATAATTTGTTTTTCAACTATTGCCTATACTTGCTGATATGGTTTGGCCATGTCCCCACCCAAATATCACCTTGAATTGTAGCTCCCATATTCCCCATGTATTGTGGGAGAGAGCTTGTGGGAGGTAATTAAATCACAGGGACAGGTTTTTCTGGTGCTTTTCTAGTGATTGTGAATAAGTTTCACAAGATCTGATGGTATTATAAAGGACAGTTCCCCTTCACAGACTCTCTTGCCCACCACCATGTAAGACCTGCCTTAGTTCCTCCTTCACCTTCTGCCAAGATTGTGGATGTCTCCCCAGTCATGTGGAACTGTCAGCCCATTAAACCTCTTTTTCTTTATAAATTACCCAGTCTTGAGTATTTCTTCATAGCAGTATGAGAATAGAATGATATACTTGCCATCCATTATTTTCTCTGCTGTCCAGGACACCCACATTCCATACATCAACTAGATACCCCCTTAAGATAACTCTCAATAAACAGTGGCATTTTCTCCTCTCTTATCCTTTTGTCCAGGCACCAGATTGGTAGAAACAGACTTTATTCTGACAAATTATGGCTATTCTAGTTATACTAGCATTTGAGTCCTGTGAGGTTTGTACAAATGGACAACTCTTGGGTCACCTCTGAAGTTTATTTCAATAATCATCTGATCATTCAACTGTTCTTTATTGAGTGAGCAGTAAGCATAGGCTTTCTTCTAGATGCCATCAATGAGTGAATAGGAGGGCAAAGTTCCGATCTTCCTTGGGCTTAATGAGCAGGGAAGGCAGCAAACAAACAAACCTGTATATATATTATGAAGGAAAATGTGGCAGGATAATGAGATACAGTTATGCAGAGAGGTGGCTTTTTCACGTAGGATAGTCAAAGAGGCCCAAACTGAAAAAAATGTTTTTATTTTTCCGTAGAAACCTATTTTGTCATAATTCTTGATTATTCCACTCCTTTACACTTCCAGTGTGACTCTATTTCCTTATTCCAAAAGCTCCTTAATGTGTCTAATTGGACAAATACAGTAGAAATTCCAGAGAAGACCTTTAGAACTGCCATAAGAAATTCCAGAGAAGGGCTGGTGTGGTGGCTCATGCCTGTAATCCCAGCAATTTGGGAGGCCAAGGCAGGCAGATCACCTGAGGTCAGGAGTTCGACACCAACCTGGCCAACATGGTGAAATTTCTTCTCTACTAAAAATACAAAAATTAGCTGAGCATGGTGTCGGGCACCTGTAGTCCCAGCTCTCAGGAGGCTGTGGCAGGAGAATTGCTTGAACCCAGGAGGCAAAGGTGTCAGTGAACCGAGATCACACCACTGCATCCAGCCTGGGCAACAGAGTGAGACTGTGTGTGTGTGTATATATATTCAAGAGAAGGTGGACACTTCAGGGCAGTTGAGACCCTAATGCTGCCTTCTAATAAGAATGCATTTGCATCTATAAACTCATCTTGAAGAGACCAGGCTCTAATTATTCTCTCTGCACAAGCAAATAAGTTCAATTTTCTTGTATTAGTATTCAAATCCTCATGACGTAGTGAGATAAAAATTTAGAGTTTAAAAAAATAAGCTGATTTGAAATCTTCATCACTGCATAAATTTTGGCAAGTATTCCTGAATTCTATATGATTTATTTATAAAAGGAAGATGAAGCCCTAGCGCCAGCCCTAAACATCATTTCACACAGTTGAGTTACGTTTTATAAAACTTGCTGTTACTGCTTCCTATGATGTTCCATACCCATGAATGCTCTTCCACCCTTCTGCTTATAGTTCTCAGTCTTATTTTCTATAAATATTATTTATAAGTTATTGATTCTTAACATTTTGTCTGCAGTATGGATCCCTCTCGTCAGCTGTTGACTCACGTCTGAGTAGATGTGTGTGGGTTTGTAAATGTAAAACTGTCCACTTGGCATCTGCTCTTGAATCTCTTACAGTGATGCCAAGCTTAATGTGTTCAAAACAGAACACTTCATCTTCACCACAAGTTTGATTTCCTTATCGTTGTCATTTTTAGTAAAGTGTTCACAGATGCTCCAAGTGCTTCTATGCACTTTAAATCCTCAGTTCGTCTTTAAACCCCTCAAACCTAAGCTGTCATGGGGACTATTGCAGGAAGTATTCATCCAGTAGACTCCTTGCCATTCTTGCACCTTTTAATCCAATATTGTACACAGAAGATAGAATTATCATAAAATACAAACCAGTGTCAATTAATGCTTTGCCATTTGTCTTAGAACCAAATACAGATCCTTTTACATGACATTGGTAACCTGTCTTATGTGGTGGGCAGGATCTACATTCTCATTTCCTGCAACTCTTCTGCTGTTCATCATTCTTCAAATGGGCTACCTCTCAGGCATTTCACACGTGCTGTGTTCTCTACCTGAAATGCTTTTCTCCTTCCCGCTGGTTGTGACTCAGCTAATTCTTTTTTTTAGATTAAATGCTTCTTTCTCAGGGAGATTTTTCCTTCTACCCCCATGCACCTCTAGTTTGAGTTGAGTTCTGTAGTAATAACTCTTTGTTTCTTTTACATAGCTTACCACAGCTATATATATTTTTTATATGAGATATTCAACGTAATGTCTATTTATCCCATGAGAACATACAATTGCTAAAGGGAGAGACTATCTGTTTTGTTCACTGCTCCATTGCACACCAAGCACACTGGCTCGCCTATTATATGGTTCAATAAATGCCTTTGATTGAAGGAACACATAATAAGTCCCTGCTAAATCTAGCCATCCTCATTATTATTTTGAGTAACCATGATATCTCTTACACTAAAAGAACTGTTCATTTAAAATAGGATATTTTAATGCAGTTTTGCTATATTGCAATGATTGCAAATCATCCTAAATCTTCTTGTAAATAAGTGATCATATAATTGCTTATTTATTTCATCTTGCTCGTTTTGAGACCCACCAAGTCTCCATCATTTTGTGAGATCCAAAAGATTCAAACCTAGGAGAACTTTGCTTTTGCCCAGGCTTGAAGTATGTTAAGTCTGTGGAGTTAACATGTATCAATCAAAGATTTCCTCTAAAATAGACAGTCATCATAAAAAGAAGAGGTGTTTGCAAAAAAAGATATTTCTGGGAGAACAAAAGGCACTTTTTCAGTGCAATATTTTTAACAACCCAAGGGCAAATCTGAGGGTTATGGAAAATTTCTGTAGCCAAGAGAGCAAAGAAAAGGTCACTAAGTTATTTTAATTAAAGCAATTCATTTGAGGACATAGGGACAAATTCTATGGAAAGTAAAGCCCCCGGATTTCAACTCTGCTGTCAGTGGTAGACTCCACCTCTAAGTGAGAAGGGGCAATTCATGGTGTAAGCTAAGAGCAAATAACTTTAATTAAGCCTGGCTCAGGGGACCAAGCTTGGGAGACCTTTTTAGTAAAAGAGATCACATGAATGAGGAAAATTTTATTCACAGCCTCACCAGGCTGTTTTCCCCCTCCTTTTGAACTGCTTTTGACAGTTTCTTCAACATATTTGCAGACAAAAATAGATGAAAGAAAAGCAATTCTGACCTATGGCATTAAATTTATGAAATAAAAATTGGTAATGTATTATAGACACTTCACTGACAATATTCACGATTCAGAATAAGATGATGTAAAAGTTTTTCAGTCTATAATACTTCCCTATGCCAGAATCATTGTTCATCCTTTTTTCTGTTGTAACAAATCAACTTAACAAGTAGTTATGGCGTGTTTATTGTGTTCCACGCACTTTTCTAGATTCTGGAGTTGAAACAGTAGAGAACAGAATTCCAAAATTATGGAATATATGTCATATTGTGTAGAAAGACATACATTTTTTCAAAAGAATAAGTTTATATTAGAACATATAGTATATCATATGGTATAAGGTAAAATGCAAAGTGAATAAAATTATTAAAATTGCTGATAAAGTTAAACATGCTGGGATGGGTCAGTGTTTGAGAGAAAACCTCCAATAAATCACTTCTACAAACCTGCACCTCTGGACTTGTGGTTGTCAGAAATTCCTAAATTCTGGATGTACCTTTCTTATATTGAGCTAATTTACTCTTGGAGTGATGTCTTAATCTCTGTCTCTCTCTGTGCTCACATTTTTACATAGCACATATTTCTAAGATATTCAACTGGGGCTAGAGACACAATCCACTGTGTCGGGGCCATGGTAAGACAAATGTTGTCCAATGTTCAGTGTTTGTTTCCTTTGAGATGAAGTCTTGCTCTGTCACCCAGGCTGGAGTTCAATGGCATGATCTCAGCTCACTGCATGCAACCTCCACCTCCTGGGTTCAAGCGATTCTCCCACCTCAGACTCCTGAGTAGCTGGGATTACAGGCGTGCACCACCAAGCCTGGCTAATTTTTGTATTTTTAGTGGAGATGGGATTTCCCTATGTTGGCCAGGCTGGTCTTGAACTCCTGACCTCAAGTGATCTGCCCACCTCAGCCTCCCAAAGTGCTGGGATTACAGGCATGAGCTACTGCACCCAGCCCTCAGTGTTTGTTTCTAGGAAACATTATTCTCAATAACTAAGCTGATCAGCAACAGAATCAAAAAGAAAGTCATACTTAATATATCTGGCTATTCAATGTACATATTAAGATACAATGTGAACTATGTAATTAACATATAGAGGGACACACCTATGTGCAATATTATATTTCCATTACACAAGATATCTCAGCTATTCAGTCTAATTTTTAAAATATCATGGCCAGTAATGAGAAAAATGTTAGGAATCACATCCCTAACTTCATGACTAGAATACAAAAAGGTGTCAGAAGCATAAAGTTAGAGCTAAATATTTTTCCATGATTATTCATCAATCAATATGAAGAAAGGAAGGGAGAAATCTGAGGCCTTCAAAATGTTTTATTTGTTTATTTTTATTTATTTTTAAAAAGCAAATCCCATGTTGCTAAGATAAGAGGAAATAAATATCTGGTTAAATTGTATGCTGTGGTACATCTTTTTAATTGAGAAAGCACAATTAATTTGGTTTCTTGTTAATCATCACTTTTGTCAACAATTAATAAAGCATAAATTATAATTTTCATGTGTCAACATTAAACCCATAAAATCTTGTTAACAGCTGGCATAGTTGTCTCTTAAAATGTTAGCCTGCTGGATAAATATGTATTTAAGAAGACAGAATGTGTGGCCTTCCCGGAGCCATGCTTCTAAATGTTAGAGCAGTTCTAAGATACTTTCAATTAAATAAAAATTAAAGCTCAGAAAATGTCACAAAAGGGTAACCTAATATTTGATCATTAATGTGCTTATGCAAAGGGATATTTGCAGTTGTGCATCCAGCAGTGATCAACTCCTCTTTCTAAGTTCCATAAAACTAAGGTTTAAAATAATATTTGGATAAACTTTATGTCAGTTTCCTGGTAGTTTCTGGCCTGTATACAACCTCAGATTTTGATTCCATTGCAGTGCTTAGAAGAATTTGTAATGAGATTTCTTTTTCTTTCCTTTTTTTTTTTTTTTTTAAAGTTTAGCAACCAACATATCTTATGCTTAGCATTAGTTAAGTTCTTGGTTAAGATTATGAAAGATCACCTTATCCAAGATCATCTTGTCCACATTATAAAAGACATTCAGTGGTGAATTTGTTAATCTCTTGCAAATGGATATACCAGAAGCACCTGTGTGAAATATAGAGATAGTGGATCACCATTAGATCCTAAGTGTTTATGGCTCTCTCTTCTACTTAAAGTGTGACAGATCAGTCCCCTCCTCTTTCTCTGGTGATTTAAATTCATTTAGTGTTTACTCATATGAAGATTGTTGAAAAGGGGGTCACTGTCCTCATTCTGCGTTATAAACCAACATGTCTTTGTAGATAGTTATTCAGCTATCTAGCAACACTCATTGCTTACAGTTTAATATTCCTAATTTCTGTTGCCTTTTATCATAGCTCTTACTTTCAACACTTTAATCATTGTAAGAAACTTCACATTTGCCATTTTTAATACATCTATTTTCATGAAGAAAAGTGTCACTTCTAGGTCTAAAACCATTCTTGCTGGAGTCTATCAGAATGTAAAAACTAAGGCCAGGCACAGTGGCTCATGCCTATAATCCCAGCACTTTGGGAGGCTGAGGCGGAAGGATTGCTTGAGAGGCCAGGAGTTTCAGACCAGCCTGGCCAACATGGTTAAACCCCATCTATACTAAAAATACAGAAAAAAAAAATTCTGTGTGTTGGCGGGCACCTGTAATCCCAGCTACTCTGGAGACTAAGGCAGGAGAATCACCTGAACCCGGAAGGTGGAGGTTGCAGTGAGCCAAGATCACGCCAGTGCACTCCAGCCTGAGCAACAAAAGCGAAACATTGTCTCACAAAATAAATAAACAATATAATAAAGTAAAAACTAAGTTTTCTTATGAGGAAAGATTTGGCTTTTAAAATGAAACAGCAAGATGTGCATTGACATCATATATCCTTCCAGATCTGTGTCTCAGCAGAGGCACACAACCACTCCCTCTGGCAAGTTCCTCCCTGGTTTTGTGTTAATTTGGTGCAATCTCTGATGTATTCTCCCACTACAAAGTCATATTGTAGAGATGAGGATTCAAATAAGAATAGAAAGTATCCAATTAGATAGCAGGATATTCATTGATAGCACCCATTTGAGCAAACATGCGTTTTCAAATCACAGATATCACAAGTTCTATGCAATCTCAAAGAACTTCACCCTGCAAATGAATTTGTATTGTTTTATATTTGGAGGAATCCCAAGGCTCAGAGTAGAAACAGGAACTCTTGCCTTCCATGTGTTTGTGTGCTTACTATATCAAACCAGGAGGCTGTATGTGTTTTAGATGGAAATACACACACACACACACACACACACACACACACACACACACACACACACCAATTTTAGATATTAAATTGGCAGGAACTACCATTCCTCCAGTAGAAAGGCATTTTTCATCAAAAGTTGTTTACACTGTACTTTCCCCCTTAGATCACAATTGAGATCCCAACTTTGTATTTCTTAGTTCCTTAAATATAATAATAATTATTTATCATGTTATATCATTTATTGGAAAATCGGGTTGATAGGTACCATATGTTGAATTAAGATGTAGAGTTATTTCTAATTTAATGAGGGTAATGCTTTGGATTTGTTTTTTCTGATTCAGAATCAGATATTTTCTTAGGCAGATCAGATTTTTTTAATACCTAGTGTCACAGATGAATTTTTCACCTCTTCTTAACTTTTGGTACTTTTGTGAAAGATGAAGAACTTGTGGGAGTCCCAATTAGACTCAATTATAGTTTGATTGACTTACTTTGGCATTTAAACACCTAGAAGAGGTTATTTCTTTATAAAGAAAAAATCCTTTTCTGTCTCTATCAGATTTAGGATTTTTTCATTCTTTTCATGGAATTTAGCCATGGCACTTGACAGAATAATTAAAATATATACCACTGAACTATGGCATATGAAAGTCTGACTGAAAGCTAAACAGATAAGAGAGAAGGGAGGAAGAGAGTGAGTGAAAGAAAGAACTTAAAATATACAGTATGCCAACTTAATAAAGATATCTATACCTAATATGTAGCCAGAATATTTGCCTTCTCAATATAGTTCTTAAAGTTTCCACATTGCTGTGGGACCATCAGGTGTTCTTACCTGGCCTGAAAATGCTATTCTGTGATTCTTTTCTTTAGGTCAGTTTTCAATTTTTATCTGTATTTTGTTTTCCTCATTTTTAAATATATACATGCTAATGACAAAATTTCCTTTTTTAAGGCTGGGTAGCATTCCATTGTGTTTATATACATATCACGTTTTCTTTATCTGTTCATAGACACTTAGGTGGCTTCCATATCTTGACTACCATGAATAGTGCTGAAATTACATGAGAGGAGATTATGCTAAGTGCAATATGTCATGTACAGAAGGACAAATACTGCATGATCTTACATATATGTAGAATCTGAAAAAGTTGACCTTGTAGAAGCAGAGATTAAAATGGCAGTTACCAGAGGCTGGGGTGTGGGGGATGCAGAAAAGGAACGTGTTGGACAAACGGTACAAGGTTTCATTTAAACAGTAGGAATAAGTTTTAGCTGTCTATTGCACAGCATGGTGACAATAATTAATAATAATGTATTGCATATTTCAAATTGCTAAGAGTATATCTTAAACAGCTTGACCACAAAAGCAATGATAAGCAGGTGACGTAATGGACATGTTAATTAGCTTGATTTATTCCTTCTAAAATGTATAAATACATTAAAACATTATACATCATAAATTATACATCATAAATTATACAATTAAATTATGCAGTTATCTGTCAATTACAAATTTTAAAAACAAAAAATGCACACATGATGAATTAGGGAACATGAATTAAGACATGGAGCTTTTGTGGAGGACAATGAAAATAATGATGTTGGAAATAGAAAACAACCATTTAAGGACTGAGAGGCAAGAAATTTTGATGTCAAGATGCTTTAAGTGGACTGAGCCTTGTCCTCAAATGTTTAAAAGGCCTCCATGTTGAGAAGTACATGAACCTGATAGTATTTCTCTTAGTAAACCACTACTCCCTCCATTTCCATTACCACCACCATCATTACAACATCACCAAAATAGCTAAGACTGCTGAATGCTGAGTCAAGAAGTAAGGTCAAACCATGTTTATGTATTGGGTCATGTGGTTCTTATAACATTTGACTGAGATAAAGAATCCAGAATCTCAAAACTGTTATGTGGCAGTCATCTAGAGTCTCTAGTGCCAAGGTTTATGTCTTAATCAGAACAGATTCTTTTTCATGGCAAATGTTTTGTCCTCGTTATTTATCTTCATTTAACATCACATAGTTCACCTCCCTTCCACCCCTACACACAATCTCCATGAAGGTGAGGATTTTCTTCCCCTGTTTTCATCACTGTGACCCAGCACTCACAAAACAGTGCTGGAGACATAGTAGATGCACAAACATATTTTTTTAATTTAATAATGATTGTAGCATATATAATCAACAATTTAGTATGTTTCAATTAAGCACAAAGAACATTTTAAAATAATTGCAGTTGAATTAAATATAGTATAAAACCACCTCAGGTAATAGTGAGTTCCCAATCACTAGAAGTCGTCTTATGAAAATTATTAGCAAGGATTTTATTTTTTTTTAGCTCTTATTTTAAAGTTCAGGGGTACATATGTGGGTTTGTTATATAGGTAAACCCATGTTATAAGGGTTTGTTGTACAGATTATTTTGTCACCCTGGGATTAATCCTATTAGCCAATAGTTATTTTGCCCAATCCTCTCCCTCCTCCCAGTATCTGTTGTCCTCCTCTATGTGTCCATGAGTTCTTTTCATTTGCTCCCACTTCTAAGTGAGAACATATTGTACTTGGTTTTCTGTTCCTATATTAGTTTAGGAAGGACTTGCTATTGGATTGAAAAACAAGGATGTGGTACTGGCATCTGGGTGCCAAGAAAATGGTGGGAGCAGATGATTATTTTAAAGTCATTTCTATGCTTATTTTCTATTCACTTATTTTTCTCCAAACTGTTGACCAAATGTACATACACACACGTGCATACATGCATATACACACACATGTATATACACATTGTTTTCCATTCCCCCTCAATGATTTGATCTTGTTAAAATTACTATATATATATTTTTAACAAATTGTCTAAGATTCATCTGATGCACCATACAAATGTTTAAAACATGGAGTATGACTGCCTTTGGGTTAATTATTTTAAATCATTTCATAAGTTTTTGTAGCATAATAAATGTGGACTTTATATGCTTCTCAGGAAAAATTTAAATTTTACATGCATTCATAACTGACTAAAGTACAAAGTAATTAACACTTTTCAATGCTTTCTGATAAGTGCAGCCATAACATAGCAATTAAACCCTCAAAATCCACAATGAAGATACAGAAAATTATAGTCTTTAAAATCTACATTAAAACTTGAAAATCTGTTTTAGTTGTCTGTAGAATATGCATGTGTGTATTAGTTAGAGTGGAGAAGAAAGTTCAATTTAGTTTAAAGTTTTAATGAGAGAATGTGCAATCAGGCACGACTAAATCATTGTTTGAAGTATACAATTTTGAGCTGAATGATTTTTAACAACAAAAATATATTGATGTTCTTCAATATGGAACTAGAGAAGCACTTAAAATAATTCAACATATACAAATGACCCCCTCTAGCACCCACCCCACTTCTTTTTTTTCAAGGTATAACCAAGAACAAAGAAATTCTGCAAGCAAATATATAAATTACATCTAATTTAATGATGACAAATATTTAGTCTTACTAAAAATTAGTCCTAAGGGTTCTTTTTATTGTGGTTTTACTATAATTTGCAGTAACATCTGTCCAGAATACTACTTACGATCTAGGGGAGAAATTATAATAATAAAACAACCCTTGGATCTGAATTTGATTGCAGTGAGACATGACCCTAAGACAAACATTTCTGACTTACCCAAGTATGGATTTTATGGTTAACCCAGTGATCAGGAGGCTAAAGGTCTATAAATGTGATTTCTTTCCATCTATCTTATTGTAAATTATAGTATTTATTTTAATAAAATCAACAATAATAAACATAGTATGTTAAAATTATAGTATAATAAAATTTAAACAGAATTACATTAGTATGATGAAGTCACATCTTGAAATAGACTTTTCAATAAAATGAATTAATTCTTTGGCTATAATTTTTAGCGTTGTTATACTAAATATGTTATAGGAATATTTTATCCTATTTCATTGTAAAATTATTTAAGTTATTTCTGGCTCCATCAATTTGGCTGGAGGCCTTGGACAGTGGATACACATCTCTGTGACTCAGTTTTTTCACCCACATGCTGTAGATATCAATGACACCTTGGGTTCTAATGAGAATGTTTTAATAAAAGTACATTGCTTACACTATTGATGGCACTTAATAAATTCTGAATAAATTTTAGATAATTTCTATTATTTATGTTATTATAGTAGATTCAAACAAGTTACTTCTCTAAATCACAAACATGGAAAATCAGACAATCACATTATTGTAGTGAGGACATTGTAAGTAATCTGCTACAAATACTGAAGCCCAGCTTCAGTCTGTATTTCATAAGTGAGAATAAGAAGAAACTTACCCTGGCCACACACAGTGGCTCACTCCTGTAATCAATCCCAGCATTCTGGGATTTGGGAAGCTGAGGCAAGTAGATTGCTTGAGCCCAGGAATTCAAAACCAGCCTGGAAAAGAGCGAGACCCTATCTCTCTAAAAATAATAATAATAATAATAAAAATGCCAGAAAGCCTAATCTGATAAATTGGAACTTTATATTTTGAATGAGTTCTGAGCTTTAGGTTGTAATTACTAAGGTGCCAGTATATTTAAATTATAAAAAGTTATGTATATTTAATATTTTGTATGTGTGTTCACTGTTATATATGTGTATGTTTACATGTGTATATATAAATATGTGCTTACACACACAGATACTATGACCTTTCCAGAACTTGTATCTGTCTGATGGACAGTTTCTCCTGCTCCCTTCCCTGATTAAAGAAGGAAAAAAGTTAATGTGAGGGTAAAAGGGGGTATAAACACATTTTCTCAAAGGTGGTTTCTAGCAGTCCATTTATATGGAATATTGAAAATGTCAATGTAATACAGGATGATCTCTAATTCTTTGAAAAAATGAGGCATTAAAATTCTGATGCCTCATTCAAGGTTGTAATGAGAACATAACACAAATTGAACCTATTATTTTGACAGTGATAGTAATGAGAATGGGAAATAAACTTAATGATAGTGCAAGTGACTTTTTTTATTTCAAAATTTCTGAACTTCCTCGCTGTCTGTTTTGCAACATGAAACCATAATATACATATAAATACTAAATTATTTAAAACTGTTTTATGAAAGACTGGACCAATAGAATAATTTTACAACTAAAATAATGTTTCTGATTTAATTGTATAAAATCAGACCCAGGGAAGACCCCTAACTTTTTGGTTTTTTTTAAAATAAGGATTCTCAATTCTAGGAGGGCAAATGTTCTGAAAGTTTTCAAATTAAAAGCAACAAAGGTTTATCTGGAATTGTTGAAATAAGAGCTATAAAAGTACTTAACATGTTAAGTTAACCCTTTGGTAAAGAAACTGACAAGAAAATTTTAAGGCTATGGTAACAGAGCAGAGACTAGAATTCAGCTCTCTCGATCCCCTCTCCATGCCTTATTGATTGCTCTTTTCAAATAATTACTGGCTTTCCACTATGTGCCAGCAACGACTCTTCTTTCCATTCATTAAAAAATGAAATAATTCTGCAACTTTTACAGACAATCGTGAGGATTAGACAGCTATGGAAAGGTAAAGAAAATTCATTCTTCCCTTACACTATCTTTAAGAACTATTAATTTTTTGGTCATATCGAGAGCAGAGATGTTGGCTGAATGCAGAGAAGGGCCAATTTGGCATTTTGATGGTAAATTTGATCAACATTACAATAAACTGATGATTTAATGCCCAAAGTATACTTTGGACTCCAAGAGGTCTAGACTGATGGACCTCATTGATCAAATTAGGCTGGGCTTTTCACATGGCTAAGCTGTGATGAATGTTCTTCTTATCTCTAGGTGTGTATTCTGTGTATAATACTGCTTTTGTGCTTTGTCTTACTTTCTATCAGCTTAAAAGGGGGGCTTATAAATCGGTACATGTTTTACTCGTGAATGAGGATGTGTAGTAATTCCTATGCTTGTCAAAACCAAAGATGTGTTTTATTCTTCCACTCTTGTGGTATTGAATCGTACTTTGATTCATTTACTCAGTCTACCAATAGTGGGTATTAAACTGCTGTGAGCTTCAATTCAAAAAGTCAGTAAAGACAACCATGCTTCCCAGCTTTAGAGACCAGGAAAATGAAAAAGATAGTAATTATTAGAGCATTATGCTGATAGAAATTAAATTGCACCAGTGATAAGTGATGTTCAAGAGTGAGATGATTTGTGTACTGCTATAGGCCAATTTCTAGGACAGGACATGGCACATAGTGGGTGCTCAGTTTGTGTTGAATGAATTTGACCTTGTTAGGAATGGCCTACCTAGGCAAATCTTGAATTCTGCCCTGGAGGCGAAAATGATTGACGAGAGTATGGTAGAGAAACATCATTAGAAAAGTTCTGTGGGCCAAAAATTATGAGTTCAAGAAAACAGAGAAGGCCAGTGTATTAATGATCTAAGGAAGAATGAGTGTATATGCGCACGCATGCACACACACACACACACACACACACACACAAGAAAGAGAGATTTGGGGAAGGACAAACTCAGAGAGAGGCAACATTGTGCAGAGCATTGTAGATTATATCAAAGAATACCCCAAAATCACTGGGTAGCTTTGAAGTATTTTCAATGGGATTTGAAGTAATCTTATAAGATTTTTCTCTCTACATTTTAATTAACCTAAACATGTAGTTTAGTTAAAAGTATCTATTGCTCATTGCTGAATTGATATAATTCTGCTCAATGATAAGCCCTTGAAAGTGCTGGCTAACATCTTTGCTCCTGTCTTCAGCAACGTAGCATCTTCTTAGACTTTTGGAAATACAGTCAGCCCTTCCTGTCTATGGGTTTTGCATTCACAGACCCAACCAAATGCAGATCAAAAATATTTGAAAAAAAAATAAAAACAATAAAACATAGCAATACAACAATAAAAGTAATACAAACAAGACAGCATAACAACTACATAGCATTTACATTGTGTTAGGTACCATATGCAATCTAGTGATGACAAAGTATATGGGAGGATTTGTGTAGGTTATATGCAGCTACTTTGCTAATTTATATGAGAAACTTGAATATCTGAGGATTCTGGTGTGTTTGAGGGGGCAGTGAAACCAATCCCCTATGAATGCCGAAGGACAACTTATTTAATATATCTCAAGAATTCCATAAGTATCAGATTCCCACTGGCTTGTGGCATTGAAGATTTGATCTGATAGGTTGCAAGGAAACTGGCATCTCCAGGCAAAAACTTTGGCCAGACAAGTATTGTTGAGTGCAAGAAAGAAGGAAGAAAAGATGAAGAACACTGAGAAATATCAGGAAGCAGAGCTGCGGAAACCTAGAAGGAAACAGTAAAACAAAGAGATATTAAATCCCGGATAGAATATTTGGAGGCTCGGGGAATTAGTACTGGATAACTAGTACCAGTACATGAACAGCCACATAAGATGGAGAATCATACATTAAAAACATGGTGCCGGTCTTAATTGTATATAGTGTAGGATAGACAGTGACAATTTGTGACTGGATCCAATCAGAATAACTCTTAGAATTAAAAGCAGGTGAAGGAAGCAATATAAAGAAAAAAAAAACCAATTCCAGCATACTGGGCAGTAGACAAGAAACAAGTGTATCCTAAATTATTAGTAAGCATATTCTCAAACAATATAATTACTGAATATTACATTCATTGAGAATATTATTGAATGCTTCACATACATGATCCAGGGACAGTGGTAAAACACACACACACACACACACACACACACACACACACACACACACATTCATGAATCCTAATTATCACACCCTGCTGTAATATCTGATGTATGATTCTTCAATTGAAAGTAAACCCCTTAAATGATCAAAACTAACAAGTTTGATTCTACTAGTACCCTGACGGTGCCACACAATCATAAGAAATGAGAGGTATTAGATAATCTCTTTGAACAGACCACATCTGAATCTTATCCTATGACTCTCTCCTCCAATCAAACCATCTCTAGAGTTCACCATGGTACTCCAAGCCTACAACTAGGGTACCCTGGCATAGCTCTATCAGCTCACATGTTCACCTTGCCACAGTTCTATATTTTCTCTATAAATTTGATGAGTTCCCTTGATTCTGTTTATGGATAAGCTTTGTGACTCCCTGCAGATAGAACTCTTTGCTGAAACCTGACAATTTAGCCAAGGTTCTGACACTATGAATAGCCTTCATCTTCCTTCTGTTTTCCAGGGATGACCATTACACATAGCCCTAGGCAATTCAGGCATCCTTGGCCTAAAAATCACATGGCCAATGGAGGATTATAATATAGCCTTTCATTAGCACTACCTGGTATCCCTTCTTTAGGGTCTCCATTCAACATGTGAGATTCCTTCAGACATTCACAGTGGCATGAACTCCAAGCATCATGCTCTATTGGATACTGCCTATGACCATATTGGGCCTCAACTTCCTTCATTCTCAACATTCTCTCCTTCACTTATGATCTGCATTGTGCTATTACTTATGCTCGGAAAACCCTCTGTTCTCCTTTCCCTGTCTAACTTCTACTTATATTTCTGGTTTTCACTTGGATATTGCTTCTTCCATAAACCCAGGACTTGGTTAGCAGCATTATGTATGTGCCCCAATAGCACAATGTCCTAATCATTTTATTTCCCCGTCCATCTATGTACCTTTTGGTGTAACCATGTACTTCTTTGTACCCCCTAATCTGAAAGCCAGGACTGTTGCTTATATCTTGTTCAACATTATATCTTGAACTCCTATGAGTGGTATAAAATAAGTTTATGTGTGCATATATAATATAAATATATATACTGATATAGATATATGCTATATCTAAATATATGAAGTATATATGTATATACATATTTAAATATGCATTTGTCAATTAAAGCTTTTGATCAGCAGGAAGAGCTCAGTGTACTGGTATAATTTAAGACAAAATAAGAAATATATAATTGTTAGTTTTGCCAGCTTATGTTGCAAACAATTTTTAAGAATTAAATCCTTAAAAGCTATAGATTGTCCCTAGGTCTATTACTACCTTTGTTCATGGAGATGCAAGATTGCAAAGCACTGGATCAGTCAAATCTGAATTCCTTTCTGGGTATAAAGAACTTGTGATGTTATCTTTCTATGAGTGAGTGCTTTAAATATTCTTTTTTTTCCTTTTTTCTTTTTTTTTTTTTTTTTAGAGAGAGTCTCACTCTGTCACCCAGGCTGGAGTGCAGTGATGTGATCTGGGCTCACTGCAAGCTCTGCCTCCTGGGTTCATGCCATTCTCCTGCCTCAGCCTCCTGAGTAGCTGGGACTACAGGTGCCCACCACCACACTTGGCTAATTTTTTTTTTTTTTTTTTTTTTTTTTTTTTTTTTTTTTTTTTTACTAGAGTTGGGATTTCACTGTGTTGGCCAGGATGGTCCCCATCTCCTGACCTTGTGATCTGCCTGCCCCAGCCTCCCAAAGTGCTGGGATTACATGTGTGAGCCACTGCGCCCGGCTGAGTGCTTTAAATGTTTTTAAAAGAAAACTATTTTTGTGGGAAATAAATGTGTTATGTTTGCTATGTTTTTTAATTGTTAGATTAAACTTTTCTAAAAAGACAGTAAATATTTGCTGGGTTTATTCCCCTTTTAATGGAAGTCTGGCTTGATTGCATCTGGTATTGGTCATACAGAAAAAAAGAATGACAGCATTTCTACTACAGAAACTGAGAAATATCTACATAATTTTTCTAATTTCAGCTCTTAATTTTCACAGGCGTGTTTTCAATTGATATTAATTTTAGCTCATCTACTTTTTTTAATAGAATGACCAACATTATTTGTTCTGTCAAATCTATGCACTGTTGCTAAAAGAACAATGAGTTAATTTGAAAGCTTAGCATACATTAAGATTTTTTTAAATGTGTGGTCACTGGTGATCACCTAATTCGTTTTTGATGTCCATTTCTTCCCAAGTATAAAATTAATGCATTAATTAGTCATTATAAGGAAGCTTTCCTAAGTCCTTTCCTAAATGAAATACTAAACATTAAGGTCTCTTCCTCTGATCATCAACTGTTAAACATTGTCTTCCTGTTCACATCGACCTTGCGTTTTCTTCTAAAGCAGAATAGCAATTACAGTAATAATAGCTCCTTTTAGAATAGGATTTTAGAGGAAGTTACTGGCAATAATGGCCTGTAAATTGTAAAATTTTTTTAAAGTTACTATTTACTTATAATAATCAAAATAAGATGTTTATCCCAGTGCTATTTAGAAAAGTAAAAAAGCAAAACACAACCAGGAAAAAAAAGAAAACCTGAAATTACTATCAACAGCAAAACATTAAGGCATGTGCACCTGATGAAATACCAAGAAGTATGTAAATAATGGTTTACAAATTTTGTAATAATATACAAAGAATGGTACTAATCCTACATGAAGTTTTTTGGAAAGAATCCTAATACATATATTTTGGAAAAGCCAGTAGATATTCATTTTAAAAAATTGGAAAGTACAGAAAAGGATAAAAGCAAAAAATAAGCAGAAACTCATATTCATGTCTGTTCCACTATGCCAATATTTTAGAAAAGCTTTCTGAAGCTCAATACATTTAACCATAAAAATAAGGCTAACTTATCAAGTTTGTGTTGTATTTTACTTATCCTGGGCAATTTAGATTATGTATTACCATCTTAATCTTAATGTAGTAGTTGGCTAAATTTATAGATAAGGTTATGAAATCTCATAACTTATTAAGGACATTTGGACAGTAATTCTTACTAGATGGAATAATCCAACTAAGTGAGGATTTTGTTTCAATTCTTGATTCATGTGGTTCTGCATTGAATGACTATATATGAAAGGAGCTGGAGAAATATATTATTATCCAACTATTTTTTTGTTTGAGACAGAGCCTCACTTTGTCACCCAGGCTGGAGTGTGGTGGCACGATCTCAGCTCACTGCAACCTTTGCCTCCCAGGTTCAAGCGATTCTTCTGCCTCAGCCTTCCAACTAGCTGGGACTATAGGCATGCGCCACCACACCTGGCTAATTTATGTATTTGTAGTAGAGATGGGGTTTCACGCATAATGGTCAGGCTGGTCTTGAACTCCTGACTTTGCGATCTGCACGCCTCAGCCTCCCAAAGTGCTGGGATTACAGGCGTGAGCCACCACGCCCCGCCATATTTGTCTTTAATCTTCAAAAATTAACTCATTGCTACTGCTCATACCCTAGCATATCACATATCTACCACTTCCATGTGATGATGAAGAGTTGCTGTTCACACCCAACCCATGACTTTGTAGGCCAGGTGACACTCAGTTCATGATGGGCATCTCAGGTTGCTTGGCAACTTCGTGGTTTATGGTCAAGCATTCAGTCTTTACCAAGGCCAAGTAGCAGGCTAATAGTTGTTGTTTAAAGGAGCGTGGTTATCTATGAATGACGGCAGAGCCTTGCTCCAAAATACTAAAGGCTTGTACTGTGATTCACCTATAGGGGCTTGCCAAAGGCTCCAAACAACTTCCCTATCAGCTGCTGTTTCTTCAAGCACAGTTGGCTCTGCTGGATCATATGGCCCAAGGGGCAGAGCAGCTTGCACAGCAGTTTGGAGCTATTGAAGGTTTGTGGGGCCTTTCCATTGTCTTATCACACTCAAACCATTCAACAATTTAAAAAAAAAACAGAGGAAAATTCCTTTGAGAAATGAAAATCCCAAGACTGAGGATCATTCTAAAACAGGATAGAAAATTAAATAATTCCTATTATCAAATTACCATATTAATTTTTACATATTTCCCTGAGACAGGTTTTTTTTCTAATCAGTAAAAGGGTGATACTATTACTTGTAAGATACAGATAATAAAACAGAAACTGCTTAGCAATCATTTGACAATATTTTAAGGTTAGGATGTGCACTGCAGTCTGATAGCTGTTTTGAATACAACAAAGTAAAATACAAACATGGTCTGATCCCCTGGAGAGCTTACACACAATAAATAAATCTAGCATTACTTGAATCATCTTTAGTTTACTCTTGTTCTAGAAACGGTTATTACAAACAAGTATATAGAAACAGAAAAATCTTTTGCAGAAAATGGATGGTTAAAAGGATAACATTTCTTCTCTAATTGTTACCCTTCCAACTTTTCACATGGATTTGTGTCTTATAAGCCAATTTCAGTGACAGCAAAGTGCTAGTGATAAGGGAAGACTCTCATCTAAAGCTTTACAAGTTTGCAGGAATAAATCAATATGCTGTCTTGACTACTGTTGCCAGCGGTGCATTGTTATCATGTTAAATTTCTCTTAGAATCTATTGCCTAGCACCTGGAAATATAGTTGCCAAGTAATGTAAGCACTCTAAACCCAAGATTAGGCTGTAGAGAAAGAGCAGCCCCTATTCCTGGCAGACAAAAATAATTGTAAGCAAAATATCCCTGATGTACTATTAGTTGATATGAAAATTATTCTTGACATAGAAGACTGAGAATAGAAAAATCGTTCGGTATGTACAGTGTCAGGTTTGGAAAAAATAAGTGCCAACAACATACTTCTTCCACATCGTAGTGACAATTTAAACAATGAATAAATACTTCCTCTTAACTCTCCATTCTGTACAGAGCTGAGGCAGTAGGGGTGGAATGGAGGGGAGTGGGGATTGTTAATTGCTACATTTGGCCAGTTTTGCACTGGACTCTCTGATATTCAGAAACTTATAGTATAGCATTGTGGTTAAGATAATAGACCAGAATCAGTCAAACTCAGGTTTGAATCCTGACTTTTTTTGTTGTTATTGTTTTGTTTTGAAACAGAATCTTGCTTTGTCACCCAGGCTGGAGTGCAGTGGCATGATCTCAGCTCATTACAACATCTGCCTCCCAGGTTCAAGCAATTTTCCTGCCTCCACCTCCTGAGTAGCTGGGACTACAGTTGCATACCACCACATCTGGCTAATTTTTGTATTTTTAGTAGAGAGAGGGTTTCAACGTGTTGACCAGCTGGTCTCGAACTCCTGACCTCAGGTGATCCACCCGCCTTGGCCTTCTGAAGTACTGTGATTACAACCGTGAGCCACCGCGCCCAGCCTGAATCCTGACTTTCTGACCTAGGGCAATTTAACAAAATTTTCTGAATCTCAGTTTCTCCATATTTCATTGAGCAATGAAAGTGTCTTTCTCACAACATTGTGATGAATCATAAAATGGAAAAGAACAAAGCAACACAGAATATTAAACTCAATGCCTGTTACATAATCAATGATGCATACATTAGTACTATTAGAGTCAGGTATTGCTATGTCTATGACAATAACTACAGATGTTCTTTACTAGAACGTGAAGAAGGAACAAAAATCTGATAATTTTAAACTACATCTTGTCTGGAGTCTCAGTCAGACCTCACGTATGTATTTCCAACATATTTTACTATGTGAGGGATATCTTTTTTATTTTCTCAAGACTTGAGAATTAATTAAAAAAATGTATATACATATATCTCAGGTGAAGGTGTGTGTCTGTAGCATTACATACATTAAATATATAGCATTCTGGAAAAGTTGATATATTACTACAAAAATAGTACAATGTGAATGTCTTCAATCTTTCCCCATTCACCAATTGTAACTAGGCCTCTGACTTTTCTCTTCTGTATAAGCCCCACTCAGACCAGCATACTTTTGTTTTGAGAACTAAGCAAGGTGATTGAGTGATCATTGAAATGATGTTCTTGGTCTCTAGAAATCCATGTGCTGGGAGAAGTGAGGGAGGACACATATAACACACACTTAGCCCATAAATTAATACAGTAAATCCAGAGATACACTGCTTTAAAGAAATGCATGGAATAGAGGATGAGCGGGTGATGCTTTAGTTTGGCTACTTGGAGAAAACTTTCTTCAGGAGGTGATACTTGAGGTGAGGAGGGTACTGTCTTACTTAGGTGTCCCATTTGACATTGTTGATGGGGATTGTGAGTCAGAAATGGGGAATGGAGAGTAGAAAAGAGGCACAGGCCAGGAACTGAGAAGTGTTCACATAGCAGGCAATAAATACAGAGGCACTGGAGAGAATGATGCTGGAGTCACTGAGACATATGAGAGCAATAACAAGATTAAAAGCATTACTTCCAGACCTTGTGCCCTTTTACAGCATTTCAGAACCACAAGTAAAATGCATGAGCTATTTTGAAATTGTTTGACCTTTTTTGCTTTATACAATAGTGACATTTGTTAAGTTAGGAGTGTGGGACCAGTAGTCAGCTGATTAGTTTCAGATAGAGGCTGAGATTCTTCCTACCCCTGTAAGGTCATTTTTCTCAGCTGTGAATTGGGGAAATTATAAACATTCAATAGCATTATCCTGAGAATTAAATGAGTTAATAGTTGTAAAATGCTTTAGAAAGTGTTGGAAACATACTAATTACTAAATAATAATTAGCTATTATTTAATTGTTAATATTTGTTAAAATATTTTGTATTTATGAATGCAATTTATTTGTAAAATCAATTGCTTTTACCAGACAGTGTCTGGGGGGAAAAAAACATTTTTTCTTGATTGGAATTCTCCTAAAAAATTGTTCCCAAGTTTCACAAAGCTGTCATAAATACCCTGCAACACACCCAGTCATCAGTTGTACGTAATTTGATCCCATAAGAACCAACATCATTTGGTTTATAAACACAAATACTCAATAGCGACTTATAAAGCTAGAGGGAGAAGAAACTAATTAACAACTCCATGAATGCAAAGGGATGTAAGAACAAGGCAAAGCAAAGGGTTTGATGATCTCTGTTTTAAAGATGTTGTTTTTCTTTTTAAATAATGGAGTTTTATTTTAATTCTTTCACACTTTGTAATCCCAATTAGATTTTTTGTGAGTGCTGTATATTCAATCCCTTATACATTTATTTAATACCTAGTGTTTTTCAAGCTCTGTAGACACAGAAGTGATAAATTGATGATCTTTATCCTCTAGGAGTCCTAACTTTTCCAGGAAAACACTCACACACACACACATCAATGATGTTACAATGTGATTAATCTATTGTAAAGATATGAATAAAAAGTTCTGAGAACACAGAGGTAAGAACAATTAATACACTTTAGCAGAGAGGGAGGCATGTGAGTTTGGCCTTGAAAGTGAGTCAGGTAAAAATTCACAGTGGAGAAGGAAAGGTGAAAACATTTCAGATGGGAGACTCAACATCAGCTAAGGCCTGGAAGGACCTAAACTGGGGAAAAGACTAATGTGAGGGAAATGAAAGGAATGGTCAGATTGCTAAATGTCCTCTTTGCTGTGCCAGGGACATTGAACTTTGTCCTCTTCATCTGGGAGAGCCATTAAATGGTTTTAAGGAAGAACAGGTCATACATACAATCATCTAAAACAATAATTCTGAACATTCCTGTCCAGAAAGGACAGGAAAGGCATAGCGACTTTTTCTGGCCAACAGTATAAATTTTCCTGGGAACGGTGATGTCAAGTACGATTTGAGTTGTCTTTCATAGCTACTGTGTAAGATGTTTTGCATGTTTTCACTTTATCTAAACTTCATCTTTTGTCTTAAATTATTCAACAGGCAACATAATTATCACTCAGATAACAAATTATATATATCATCCATTTTCCCATCTTGATTCTGACCAATCTGATATAGAACAAAGAATACACAGGGAAGCTTAAATAGCTCTTTGGTGACCATGAAGGCTGTATAAGATCAAAGGATGTCACATTAGATCTGTTAGCCAGATGAACTTGCTGCTACTTTAATCACAAGTTAGGCAAATGGACTCACCCAGTCCCAAGCAACTCTGGACCAGGGTAGCAGGCCTAATCATGTGGAAAGGGTCTACCTAGGTAAGTAAGGACCACTGGACAGGTAGACTTGAACCCCAAGAGGAAGTAGTGCAATGTGGAACTGAATATCCCATCTTTTACAAATTTACCTACATGATTGTCACTCCAGATTCCCTGAGATATAGAAGGTAAAGACATGTACCCAGAAGTATCACAACAGTCGAGTTTCCTATAGCTGAAAATAAATAAAATACACGCAGAAGAAGCATCCCCACTCTGACACTGTCTTTGAACCCAGTTAGTTATTATGGATCCCATGTTGTGTCCATTACACCCCATTGATCTTAAAACTGGGTCATTGGTTCTCATTCTTCTCCCTCAGTCCCAAACAGAAACGTTGAGATAAAAATCAAACCAGAGGTTTCTAGCTAAAGGACAGCAGAACTGATTTTTGAGTGATGAATCTGGAACACCGTTCCAATGCAGGCATTAAACCAAGCATGCTGGGTAGAGGAGAATGCACTATGGTCTTTCGGTAAAAACTCTGAGTGAAAGCTGCTAGTGAACATTAGCAGCATCCAAGGCAGAAAGCTACTATGCAGCCAGCTGTGTCTTTCACAGAGAGGAATTTTGATGATTCTACCTAAAACACACACACACACACACACACACACACACACACACACACACAACTTTCCAACATCAATGGTGTTGTATTTTTAAAATAAAATAATTCTATTTTTAAAATAAAAATATGGTATTCTATGTGGATTTCACCATTTGATGGGCCAAGAGGATCAAATTATATCATCAATGATATCCCCATTACATCACCTGGGGAGTGAATCAAGAGAAGAACTACTCTTCTTTCTACATAATTATATACCTCTATGCAGATCTTGTGCTGCCTTTGCTGAGAAAATGGTGTTCGTTTTTAACTTAGCCTCACAATGAACTTCGTGAATGTGTGCAATAAAAGAGGTTCCTATTTTGAACTGCTTCTTAACTAAGAATATTTGATACTGCTGCACCTACGTAGTCTTTAACACACTGACATTATGTAAATTAAATATGTTAATCCCCACCTCTGTGCAATCTTCTTCCATTTAAACTTTTTTCCCCTTTTGTTACCAGAAAGGAGAAACAAAAAGGAAAAAAAAGATGTAAGAAAAGACTCCTGCCAAAAATAATAGCTATGTTCAATGTTTTCCCTGGTTTCTTATTGTTTAAAATGTGCTTTTCCTGCCAAGGTCCCGTTTAAGTGCATTACCTCCACATGCTAATAGACTAATTAAAATATGAATAAATAAAAAATTTCCTGTAAACTTTTTTTCCCCTTTTTTGTGAACTTAAAGTTGAGTTTTCTGAACTAGGATTAATCAAGAAGATATTTTTTACTTCATTGTTTCCCTGCTGGAAAAAATGTCAACTCCCACCCCTGTCTTCAGTAGAAATCTAAGACTGGATAGTGCTCCATGAAAGTAAAACACAATGTTAGTTAAGGTCAAGAAGCCTATGTTTGAGTCTTGGTTGCATGCCCTTAGTGTCAGAATCTCAACTTCTCTCAGCCATCATTTCCTTATAAATAAATAACTCCCATGGATATAAATTTACTCTATCTTAACAGGCAATTACAAAGACATAGAGGTTTTGACAAAGATTCCTTTGCATCTATCTATCTCTGGTGTATAAGAATTACATCTGAATCATCTTTTAATCATTTAGCTTGGGCCCAAAGCATAACAGGACTTGAGAAAATGTTCATCATAAAAATACAGTTTTGTGGATGTAGAGTAGATAAGGTTGTGGGATTGGAAGACGCAGATCTGAAATACAGCTAGAAGGATTTTGGCCAAACTCTTTATGTCCCTGGTGTCATAGAGAAAGAAGGGAAGGCAAATAGTGTGTAAGATGTGATGCAATAAATGGGATTTATAAAATCCCTGTTATCTAAATGAAGATACGTGAATTTTATAACTATTGGGTGTTTAATAATTACCTAAGAGCACACTGTCTTCTGTACTTAGAGTGAATGCTTAAAATGTCATTACAAACTGGACAGATTACACATTAACTCAAATGAATCATTACGGGGGAAGAAACTTTGTTGTTTTTTTCTGGGTGAGAGGTATCAGCTTTTTTTTTTAATGTTTTTTAATGTTTATTTCAATAGCTTTTGGTGTACGGTAGTTTTTTTGTTATATGGATGAATTATATAGTGCATTCATAACCTGAGTAGAGTACATTGCCCCTAATGTGTAATTTTCTATCCTTAGCCCCCTCCCACCTTCTATCTTCTGAGTCTTTAAGGTTCATTATATCACTTTGCTTACTCATAGCTTAGCTCCTCTTTATGAGTGAGAACATGTGGTTTTTGGTTTTCTACTCCTGTGTCAGTCAACTTAGAATAATGGCCTCCAGCTCCATCCAAGTTGCTGTAAGAGACTTTATTTCATTCCTTTTAATGACTGAGTAGTATTTCATGGTGTATATATACCACATTTTCTTTATCCACTCATTAGCCAATGGGCACCTAGGTTGGATCCACATCTTTGCAGTTGTGAATTCTGCCCTTATTAACATATGTGTGCAAGTGTCTATATAATGACTTATTTTACTTTGGGTAGTGGGATTGCTAGTTTGAATGGTATATCTACTTTTAGCTATTTCAGGAACCTCCATACTCTTTTCCATAGAGATTGTATTAATTTACATTTCCACAGTATGTAAGTGTTCCCTTTTCCCCAAATCCACACTAACATCTATTGTTTTTCAAAATTTAATAATGGCCTTTCTTGCAGGAGGAAGGTGGCACCTCATGGAGGTTTTAATTTGCATTTCCCTGATGATTACTGATGTTGAGCATGTTTTCATATGTTTGTTGGCTGATTGGATGTCTTCTTTTGAAAAATATTCATGTCCTTTGCCCACTTACGGGTGAGATTATTTGCTGTTTTGTTTGAGTTTCTTGTATTATAGATTCTAGACACCAGTCCTTTGTCAGAGGTGTAGTTTGCAAATATTTTCTCCCATGTATTTGTCAGTCATCTGCAATGCCAGCCACTGTCATAGAGTATTTCTTAGAGTATTTTGTTTAACCTGAATAACTACCTATGAGGTATAAGTAATATTTTCATTTAACACATAAGGAAAATGAAGGTGCAGCTTTAGAACTCAGCTGGTGTACAAAACATTATTTGTGCATTTTGGCGATTTTTATCAGAATCTCATTTTCCAGGGTGTATTAGTCCATTTTCATGCTGCTGATAAAGACATACATGAGACTGGGCAATTTACAAAAGAAAGAGGTTTATTGGACTTACTGTTCCACATGGCTGAGTAGGCCTCACAATCATGGTGGAAGGTGAAGGGCACATCTCATGTGGCGGCAGACAAGAGGAGAATGAGAGCTAAGCGAAATGGGTTTCCCCTTATTAAACCTTCAGATCTTGTGAGACTCATTCACTATCATGAGAACAGTGCAGGAAAGACTCACCCCCATAATTCAGTCACCTCCTACCAGGTTCCTCCCACAACATGTGGGAATTATGGGAGTAAAAATTCCAGAAGAGATTTGGGTGGGGGCACAGCCAAACCATATGATTCCACCCCAGCCCCTCCCAAATCTAATGTTGTCACATTTCAAAAGCATCATGTCTTGCCAACAGCCCCCAAAGTCTTAACTCATTTCAGCATTAACTCAAAAGTCTACAGTCCAGTGTTTCATCTGGGACAAGGCAAGTCCCTTCCACCTATGATCCTGTAAAATCAAAAGCAAGTTAGTTACTTCTTAGATACAATGGGGATACAGGCATTGGGTAAATACAGCCATTTCAAATGGAAGAAATTGGCTAAAACAAAGGGGCTACTGGCCCCACGCAAGTCTGAAATCCAGTGGGGCAGTCAAATCTTAAAGCTCCAAAATGATCTCCTTTGACTCCATGTCTTGCGTCTGTATCATGCTGATGCAAAACGTGGGTTCCCATGGTCCTGGGCAGCTCTGTCCCTGTGGCTCTGCTGGGTACAGCCTCCCTCCCAGCTGCTTTCATGGACTGGCATTGATTGTCTGTGGCTTTTCCAGGTGCACAGTGCAAGCTGTCAGTAGATCGGCCATTCTGGGGTCTGGAAGATGGTGGCTCTCTTCTCACAGCTCCACTAGGTGGTGCCCCAGTAGGGACTCTGTGTGGAGGTTCCAAACCCACATTTCCCTTTCACACTGCCCTAGCAGGGGATCTCTATGAGGGCCCCACCCCTGTAGCAAACTTCTGCCTGGACATCCAGGCATTTTCATACATCCTCTGAAATCTAGGTGGAGATTCCCAAAGCCCAATTCTTGACTTCAGTGCACTCACAGGCTCAATACCATGTAGTATCTGCCAAGTCTTGGGGCTTGTACCTTCTGAAGCCATGGCCTGAGTTCTACATTAGTCCCTTTCAGCCTTGGCTGGAGAGGCTGGGATACAGGGCACCAAGTCAATAGGCTGAACACAGCACAGGGACCCTGGTCCCAGCCCACAAAACCACTTTTTCCTCCTAGGCCTCTGGGCCTGTGATGGGAGGGGCTGCTGTGAAGACCTTTGACCTGCCCTGGAGACATTTTCCCCATTGTCTTGGGAATTAACATTTGGTTCTTCATTACTTATGCAAATTTCTGCAGCCAGTTTGAATTTCTCCTCAGAAAATGGGATTTTCTTTTCTATCACATTGGCAGGCTGCAAATTTTCCAAACTTTCATGCTCTGTTTCCCTTATAAAACTGAATGCCTTTAACAGCACCCAAGTCACCTCTTTAATGCTTTGCTGCTTAGAAATTTCTTCTGCCAGATACCTTAAATCATCTCAAGTTCAAAGTTCCACAGATCTTTAGGGCAGGGGCAAAATGCTGCCAGTCTCTTTGCTAAAACATAACAAGAGTCACCTTTGCTCTAGTCCCCAACAAGTTTCTCATCTCCATCTGAGACCACCTCAGCCTGGACCTTATTGTTCATATCACTGTAAGCATTTTTGTCAAAGTCATTCAAGTCTCTAGGAAGTTCCAAACTTTTCCAAATTTCCCTCTCTTCTTCTGAGCCCTCCAACCTGTTCCA
Source organism: Homo sapiens (assembly GCF_000001405.40). Taxonomy (NCBI): domain Eukaryota; kingdom Metazoa; phylum Chordata; class Mammalia; order Primates; family Hominidae; genus Homo; species Homo sapiens. Next base: position 64,177,596 of record NC_000016.10, on the reverse strand, counting down.
ACCTCCGCCTGTTACCCAGTTCCAAAGTTGCATCCACATTTTCATGTATCTTTTTCAGCAACACCCCACTCTACTGGTACCAATTGACTGTATTAGTCCATTTTCACACTTCTAATAGAAACATACCCGAGACTGGGCAATTTACAAAAGACAGAGGTTTATTGGACTTACAGTTCCACATGGCTGGGAGGCCTCACAGTCATGGTGGAAGGTGAAAGGCACATTTCACATGGCAGCAGACAAGAGAAAAGAATGAGAGCCAAGTGAAGTGGGTTTCCCCTTATCAAATCATCAGAGCTTGTGAGACTCATTCACTATCATAACAGTGCAGGAAAGACCCACCTACATAATTCAATCACTCCCCACTGGGTTCCTCCCATGACACATGGGAATTATTGGAGTTACAATTCAAAATGAGATTTGGTTGGGGACACAGCCAAACTTTTTTTTTTTTTTTAAAGATGAACCCATAAAAATTTGAAGCAATATCATGAAACTTCATACTTTAGGAAGCTTTGGGCAAGCATCTAGTGAATTGATCCTCTGTCTATAGCCTGGACCAGAAAGATCTTCCTTTCTTCTGACCCTCTCACACCCCTAATATCTTTTAGAAATATAGGTGTAACAGATTTTGTCCTATGATGTGTGATCTTTTTCACACATTGTGTCCTTTGGAAATTGAGTTTGAGGTAACATGATTGCAGCTGCATAATTTCACTAAAAAGCAAGACAGCTCCTCTTCCAGCAACATGTATTTCTCTTTCCTTGACATGGTTAAGATCCTAAGAAAGGGATTTGTGGCACATTTGTAAGTTTAAAACAAATGTCTTTTCCAAGCTGTACTGGAACTCAGTTTCATCCTTATGGTTGACCAGGAGAACAAAAAAATGGCTGGAATTCAGGCTATTGTTCCTGAGAAGGGAAGAGGGATTCAAAGTGTCAACTCTTAGGCTCAGAAATCAAATTTGGCAGTTTTATGATAGTTCCTGGTATCAAAGTGTAAAAACCAATCATTCTTACACCAAGCTCCAAATAGTGTTAGCCTTTTTAATTACTCATATACCCAATATTCACTTATTTATTCACCAAATATTTGAGTGATTGTTTAGTCACAATGCCAAACAATGGGGATGTATTTGTCAGTTAAACAGCTAGGGTTTGTGCTGTCAGGGAGCTTGCAGTCTAGTAGAAGAGACAGATCAAGTACAGAAACAATTCATTACATAATTATGCATGATATATTCTATGGAGGAATCATAGAAGGCCAGTCTCAGTGGCTCACGCCTGTAATCCCAACATTTTTGGAGGCCTAGGCAAGCAGATAACTTGAGGTCAGGAGTTCGAGACCACCCTGGCCAATATGTAAAACCCCATCTGTACCAAAAAATACAAAAAAAAAATTAGTTGGATGTGGTGGCACATGCCTGTGGTCCCAGCTACTTGGGAGGCTGATGTGGGAGAACTGCTTGAACGCAGGGGTTAAGGCTGCAGTGAGCCAAGACCCTGTCTCAAAAAAAAAAAAAAATGCAGTGAGAGAATAACGAGGAACCTATTTATATCTAGAGTAATATTTAAAATTGTGAGCTGAGAATTTAAAAATCAAACTTTATTTTTGAGACAGGATCTCACTCTGTCACCCAGGCTGGGGTACAGTGACACTATCGCAGCTCACTGCAACCTCAAATTCCTGGGCTCAAGCAATCTTCTTGCTTCAATATCTGAAGTAACTGGAACTATGGGCTCATACCACCATGCCCAGCTAATACATACATATACACATATATATAGCATACATATACACATATATATAGCATATATATACACATATATATAGCTTACATATACATATATAGTTTATAGATACATATATATGTGTGCATATAGATAGCTTATATATACACGTGTGTATATAGATAGCTTGTATATATATACATAGTTTATAAATATACATATATATGTGTATATAGATAGCTTATATATACATACATATATATGTGTGTGTATATATATATGTGTGTGTGTGTGTGTATATATATACACACACTCCTGAACTCAACTGCTTCTCCCACCTCTGCCTTCCAAAGTTCTGGAATTACAGGTGTGAGCCACTGTGCCCAGTCTAAAAAGTCAAGCTTTTTACAGGAGTGATGAAAGAGTTTCCAGTCAGATAGAACACAATGTGCAGAGGTCCTATGGTGAGAATTTGACATTTGGGGGGAAGGAAAACCTCCCTTACATGGAGAGTTGTTGAGTTTTCTGTCACTACTTCATGGCTTTCTACTCTACATGCTATACTCCTTCTGAGACAAACTAATTATCTCACAGATACTGCAAAGTCAGCACCACCAAAATAAATGTTTTATTTTCTTCAGTCCTAAATATCCTCCTCCATTCTCTTAACTTTCTTTCTAGTTCACCCTCATGCCTAATTAGTAACAAAAGTTCATCAGTTCATCCTTAGATTTTGTTCTCTATATATTTCCCACCTTCTTGCCTTATTTTCCTTTTCCTTGTACTCTTCTTTTTCCCTCCACTGCTTCCTCTCTCCTTCAGATTTTCATCATCTTTTTTCTTGGGCTATCATCTAGCTTTTAATCTGGCATTTCTTTTTATAGCCTCAGAATAATTTTTATAAATCTCAAATTTGGTCATGTCACATCCTGCATAAACCTCTGTTGATTTCTCATTGCTCGAGGAGAAAGTACAAGTTCTTACTGGTGTAGATAAAAAACTTTATCTATCTGGAGCCAGAACATTTTTCTTGGCTTTTTTCCTAATAATACTCTAGTCTACAATTTATTATTATTTTATAAATATCTTCTAGCCATTTACATAGAGAAGGATGCTGTAATGTCACTCTGCCTTTGCATATGTTGTCCCTGTGGCCTAGAAATTAGCCTATTTCTTTGTAGGCTAGTCCTACTTCTCATTACCTTTTGGGTCCTCTTTCACATGTTGAGTTCAACACTTGAAGGCTAAGTCTATCATTGCAGTTAGCACAATGGACTCTGTTTATGTCATTTTTCTTTCGTGGTCATGATTCTTTGGGGTCCAGGGATTTTCCTTTCATTATTGCATCTCCTAACCACATAAACACATCTGGTACAGAGTGAGTTCATGAAATCGTGAGTACAGAAATTGTCAGTGAACAAAAGTCTCTTTAAAGAGCTGGGATTTTTTCCTTATTATTCAGAAGACTTTAAAATAAATGCCACAGGTGTTTCCACCATAGAGAATCATGACCTTCCTGAAACTTCAAGTCATCATTGGAGAGAACAAGTTAAATTGAGAAGAATGTACCTGAAATCAACAAGCAGAATGTCTTTATGTTTAAAGAGCTGTTTCTTTCCACTCCGTTTGATGAGAATAGGGATTGACATTCTCTGCCTATCCAAAAAAACAGGCTTTGAAGTATCAGATTTTATTGATTGCTCGGTAAGCTGTTATAGCAACAGGCCAGAAAAAGAAAGTTTTGGAGGGATATAGATGGCGAAGTTTTGGATTTTGACTGACTTACTCGCAATATTTTGTCAGCATCATTCAAGAATGCATTATATTTGTTGAACCTATCACACTCTGACTTCTATAAAAAGGAAAGAGTGTTGTAATTTGTCTCTTTTGAGGGCATATGAACTCCAGGTTAGGTGGAGGGCAGGCAAAGGAAAGCAAAGTGAAGAAAAAGATTAAAATTTATTCATATATTAGACCCTCAAGAGCAATGATTTTCAACATAAGAGTGGTTTTGCTCCCCAGGGGATACTTGGCAAAATCAAGAGTCACTTTTGTGCTACTGGCATCTACAGGGTGGAGGTCAGGCCTACTGCTTAACATTTTACAATCCACAGGACAGCCCTACTCAACAGAGAATAATTCAGCATGAAATGTCAATAGTGGTGAGGTTAAGAAACCTTGTTTTATAGTCAGTAGCACTAATTGATCCAGTAACCTTAAAGCAGTCATTTATAATGTTAGGACCTCCTTTAACTCATCTGGAAAAAAAAAAAGAGGTTGGAGCAGACCATCATTAAGTTTTCTTCTATGTTTGGTGTTCTATGAGTCTTAATCCTGATATGGGATAGAAGCTTCAAGACAATATTAAATAGACAGCAACAATTTGGGTATGACACCTGGCAAAGGTGAGAATATTACTCCATAGACTCGATTCACTTGTTTTAAAACATATAGTTGATATAAAAGTTATCATAAAGATGTTTTTGCAAATATTGAGAGTTGAACTTCAGAAAATTTTATTAATCTTTGAAATTCTCACTTGAGAAGAAAGACTGCAACAGAATTAAGGAGATACACCAAATAGAATCTAAGGCTTTTTAGAGCTCCTATTTCTATAGTTTCTAAATGACCAAAGTTTCTGTGAAAGGTTGTTTTATGTGAGACTATAGCAGGGTGTGCCACTGATAAAGACAGACTCTGGGACATGGGGATGGTTTGCTGAATGATTGAAAGGTGTTCATGTGGACAATTTACTCTCTTTTCAGTTTCAAATGTTAGTATTATGCTCCCCTTCATCCTGCCAACAGTGTAATAACTGTGACCCCAATTCACAGCTAGAATCTCCCTATACTGACAAAAGTGCATCTTGGGATAAATGGCCCTCCATTGCTAGGTTAAAAAGTGCAGTGTGGAAAAGAGATAAGAAAGAGCAGGCAGGAGAAATACCTGCCGACTTTTTCTCAATTCTTCTAAGCCTAGAAGTGAGAAGAAATTGACTTTCTGTTTCGGTTATCTATTGTGGTATAGCAAACTACACCAAAACTTGGTGGCTTCAATCATTACATTGTTGTAATTAGATGTCTGTATTTTTTTGGGTCAGCGCACATCAGGGGCCACCTGTCTCTGATCTGTACAGTCTCAGGTCTTGTGGAAGCTGGAATGACTTGAATATCCTGTTGCATCTGCCTGCCTCTCTCTGTCTCTCTGCATTTCTCCCTCTCCTTTCTCCCTCTCCCGTATAACCTCTCAATGTGACTAGTTTGGATTTTCTCACAACGCAGCAGGCTCAGCATATACAGATCTCTTCCCCATGTTCTCTTGCTGCTCCAAGAGAACAAGAGAGAAGCTACCAGTCTTCAAAGCTAGACACAGAACTGGCATAAAACATTTCTGATGTATTCTATTTGTCAGTGCAGTCACAGGCCAGCTCAGATGCAAAGAGAGGTGAGATATACCCCATCTGTCAATGAGAGAAGTGTCAACATTTGCATGACCATTTTTAATCTGCCACACTGTATCTTGAAGTTAATCCTTCTATAAAAATGCCAAGTGTACATTCTAAATTCTCTGTTGGGAGCATCACTATTTCACAGGGTTGGGTAAGGGAGAAGTGAAAAGAAATGAAAGAATTATGAAAAATAACCCCAAAAGCTGCCTATGTGAGACTAATTTTATTTAAATTATTTATGTTTAATTTGTTTTTAAATCAACTTCTATAATTTGAGCTCCTGTAGCTGAATTAGACCTCTTTTCTGCTCCTACAGCGTTATTTGTATAAGCATGACTTTTGCAATCCTTTTTTGTCTTGCTTTTTCTTAAAATGATCTAAAGAGATCAGAAGACCCAGAATGATGAATGTAACATCTGAAAATTATCAATCAGCCACTTACTGATAATTTTCATCATTCTTTCATCATTCTGAGTATCAATTTCCTTATCTATAACATGGTGATAATATTAGTACCTCCTCCTTGAGATGACATGTATGTGATAAAGTTATTTGGAACAGCTAGCTACTGTTGGACATGGCAGAGACTCCACGAGAATTTGCTGAATGAATTTGCAGCTTCTCAAGTTAAGGGCCACATTCGCAGTCTCCATGTGTTTTGTGGGAGGAGGATGATTAGATATGTGTGAATGAAATAAACCTTTTGGTGGCTTAAATGAATTAGCAGGGAGAGGCATCTTATCCACTTTTTTAACTCTATATTTTACCTTGTTGATATTATCTATCCCCATTTCATAAATTATCATTTTGTGTGCTATGGCTGCTAAATTTCTCTCATCAGTGCAGACTTTTCCTTTTAACTCCAGATTGATGCATGATTGGTTGTACGAAATCTCTTCAAACACTACACATCCAATACTCAATTCATGTCATGAAGTTGTTTATTTTGAGATGGAGTCTCACTCTTTCTTGCCCAGGCTGGAGTGCAGTGGCACAATCTCAGTTCACTGGAACCTCCGCCTCCTGGGTTCAAGCGATTCTCCTGCCACAGCCTTCTGAGTAGCTGGGACTACACGCACCCACCACCACACCTAGCTAATATTTGTATTTATAGTAGACATGGGGTTTCACCATTTTGGCCAGGCTGGTCTCGAACTCTTGGCCTCAAGTGATCCACCTGCCTCAGCCTCACAAAGTGCTGGGATTACAGGCGTGACCCACCACGCCCGACCATGAAGATTTTTTTCACCATTAGTTTGATCATATAACTCAAGAAAGAGGGCAATAAACAGCAAAAAATGTAAGCCTGTATAACTTTATCTGCCAAAAAATTACTATTAACAGTGTTGGCGTATATACTTTCAGATGTGTTCCTGTTCATATGTTCCTAGAGAAAGAAAAATAGATGGTTAAAGATTTAGAGGGTTAAAATAGGATTATTTGGCAAACAAAGATAAAATTTAATCATATTACGTGTGGTCTGAAGATCAAATACAACACTCAGTGTGAAAGTGACTGGTGCACAGGGAGCATTTGCTATCTGCTATAAAATTGTCTGTTATGGTATCCTCCATCTTGAATTTCTATTCTTTCACTGTCATTTTGTGTTTATTATCACATCAGTGGACAATGTCATTATTCATAAAATATTGTTTATTCAGCCTATACTATGTGTCTCTTACTAGACATTAGATATGAAAAAATAAAGGGTAGTTTTTTCTCTTAGGAGATTATAAGGAAGAGATAAATGAACAATTAGAAAACCACATATTGAATGAGCTGTTGGTATCATGTGCAAGCTTTATTTTACTTTTTATTTCATTTTATTTTTCAGACAAGTCATTACCCTGTCACCTAGGATGGAGTGCAGTGGCATAGTCAAGGCTCACTGTAACCTTGAACTCCCAGGCTCAAATTAGCCACTCACCTCAGACTCCCAAGTAGCTGGGATTACAGATGCACACCACCCATCCAACTAATTTTTATTTTATTTTATTTTATTTTTTAGTAGAGATAGCTTCTTGCTATGTTGCCCAGGCTGATCTGGAACTCTTGGCCTCAATTGATCCTTCTGCCTCAGCCTCCCAAAGTGCTGGGTTATAGGTGTGAGCCACTGTGCCCGACTCACATGCAACTTTTTTTTTTTTTTTTTTGAGATGAAGTCTCTCTGTCACTCAGGCTGGAGTGCAGTGGTGCGATCTCGGCTCACTGCAAGCTCCGCCTCCCGGGTTCATGCCATTCTCCTGCCTCAGCCTCCCGAGTGTCTGGGACTACAGGCGCCCGCCACCACGCCTGGCTAATTTTTTTGTATTTTTTTTTAGTAGGGACGGGGTTTCACCGTGTTAGCCAGGATGATCTCGATCTCCTGATCTCGTGATCCGCTCACCTCGGCCTCCCAAAGTGCTGGGATTACAGGCATGAGCCACCACGCCCGGTCTCACATGTATCTTTTAAAAGCATAGTTGGACAAGGTACTGAGGGATTGATGCAATGATGCATCATTATGAGTAACCCAGCATGGTTGAACTTTAGGATATCCATGCAGCAAAATCCTCAAGAACACAGGCAGTGCTATCTCTGCCAGTGATTATGACATTAGGCAAATTATAGCACCTCTCTAAGGCTAAGTCTCAGTGTATGCATCTGCAAATACATATGTTGTGAGAATTAAATGACATAATACACATAAAGAACATGGAAGAGTGCCATGCATACTGAACACTCCAATGTCAGTCAAAATAAAAGAGGAAAGAGTGGGAAATGGGGGGAGGAGGGATATTCAATGAGGACTTTTTAGAGGCTGCCAGGAAATATAAACTTTATATGTTAAGTGATGGGTGACATTGGAAGATTTTTGGAACAAGAGTGCCATGGTCAGGGTTTAGATATTTAAAAATTGCAACACCTTCTAGGAACAAATGAAACTTATGCACAGCCAGAACTCACCAACCATGTACTTGCACCCTGAATGAAAGAACACTAGTGGTCTTTGGTTGGCATGATTGAATGTCTGGCAGAATTTTCTTCTTTCCATTATATAAAACTTTCCATAGCTATGGGTTTTTAAATATCTATTTTGTGATTAAAAGACTGAAAGGACCTCCCACACTATGGCATTCTCCAGGTGTGGATATAATAACCCCAAAGTATGATTTGGATCTCAAGCCCAGAACCAAATTTAGAAATAATTTCTAATTATAATGAGTGTATGGTCCATATGACATCAATTTTTTTTATTACTATTCAAAACTTCACACAAGGTCTTGACTTTTCCATAGTACAATAAAGAATAAAAATGGGGGACAATTTCTCCCCGTGTTTATGGGTAGCTTTTAATTATTTGTAAAAATTTTCTTAGAAAATAAAAACAGAGGCCAGGCACGGTGGTTCATGCCTGTAATCCCAGCATTTGAAGAGGCTGAGGCGGGCAGATCACCTGAGGTCAGGAGTTCGAGACCAGTCTGGCCAAAATGTGAAACCCCATTTCTACTGAAAATACAAAAATTAGCCGGGTGTGGTGGTATGTGCCTATACAGTTCCACTTATTGGGGAGGCTGAGGCAGGAGAATCTGTTGAACCCAGGAGGTGGAGATTGCAGTGAACTGAGATCATGCCATTGCACTCCAGCCTGGGCAACAAAGCAAGTCTCTGTCTCAAAAAAGGAGGAAAAAAAAAAAAAAAAAGAAACAGAAACAGCTGTCTAAATCAAAGGAGCTTAATATATTTTATGTTCTACATTGCCAAGTCATTCTGATTCCTGTATTTAAGTAAGTCTTGAATGGGAACCAAGATAGGTGTCCTGATACTTGTCAGGTCATAACATGTTGGGGTTTATACATTGTCAGGGAATCATCATTTACCCACCCCATGATATTTTCTTGTAAGTCATTCCTCTAGGTCCACCTTAGAGTCTGACCCAAGTGAAGTCAGTGCCATCTGCTCACAGGCAATGGAGGGCAAGGGCCGAGTCAGTCAATACCCAGCTGCTGCAGATTTAATGAGACATAAATAAAAATAGATAATTGTGACTGAGTATCCAAGAAGCAAGGTGTGGAGCCCATGTATGGCTGAACAGGAAAAAATGCTGCTTTTTCCCTGGCACATTACAGAACTGCCAGACAAGTGTGATGAAGGCGATTTGCACATGAAATTCGATTATGAATAAAAGGATTCCCCTTTTTCCATGCAAGTTACGTGAGGGAAATTTTTGAGTGGTCTTAATTAAAAATAACCAGTAGCTGATTGACAGTTGGGCATTAGGTTGGAAACTGGCAACCGCTAACAGGAGAGGAGATGGAAAATTAACGTCAAGAGAAAGCTTTGTCGGAAAAAAAGGACTGGGTGCCGGCTGTCAGTCATCCATCCTGTGCTGCCGACTGCGGCGTATTCTCCGGAGGATGCAGCTGCGAGGCTGGCTTCTGCAACACAGCAATCAATATCACACTTCTCAAACAGAGTCTCTAAAGTGATAGGGGACTTTGGCAGTGGTATGCAGGTGTGGATAAGGCAAGATTCGACTTTCCTCATTACCAAACAACTCAGACTTTTCTGCATACATGCTTTCCTTTAGAAGTCACACTATAAAAATTATGCTCACACTCCTACTCCTATGAAAACCAGGAGGAGGACAATGATGAAGGCAGTGAAGATGACTAATGAAAATTTTCTGGAACATTTTAAAGGTCATGTCACTTTTATAATAGTTTTTTTTTTTTTTTTTTAGCGCAGTGTGATAATGGACAAATTGAGCATAAAAACGGAACAATAAAAACCAAGTAAAAATAACCTATTAACAATAAACTATTAGAATAGTATTGATGAAAAAATGAAACTATACATTAGCTTTTTCTTTAAATAGTACAAAATCTATATATTGTACAACACATCATCCAAGATAAACACAATTAAATTGATGCTATTAGTCCCATTTGATGGATGAGAAAAAAACAACAAACTGAAAAACAGTAGGGTTAAAAGGATTATGTAAAATCTTGCTAATGAATTTCAGAATTAGAGGATGAACTGAGACTTAGATTCTCAATTCAGAACAATTCAAATTTTTATGCAAATAGGAACTGAAGATTAAATTATTTTCCCTAATATGAAGAGTAGAAAAATAAAATGGGGAACATTGGTATAAGGTGGCAGAATGGATAATAGGTATAATTAGAGCCAACATAATAATAGGGCTGAGAGACAAGTCACATAGCAACATGAGGACATCAAATATGGTTTATATTGTGTTATATTCATACACTTCCCTTCAGAGATCCTCAGCTTCTAATGTGGCCTTCACATTTCTGTTGCATAAAACACATTCATGTAAGGTATAAAACAAAATCTGCAGTTTCTAGGGGCTTCCATTAATTAAAAGTGCCAGATGAAACATATTAAACAGGAGAGAAAATTACAAACCAGTTAGCAGGTATTTAATAATTTTGTTGAATAATAAATTTATGCATCTACCCTAGAATATATCAGGGAATTAGATATTTATTTTTAAGTTTGAGATAAAACAGAGTAGCCAAAACATTCAATTAGGATCATTGAGGCTTGATAAGTCATGAATATGAATGCTCTATTTCTATACCACTAAAGATACAAAGTCATTTATAAAAAATAACTAGTTCAGGGCTGGGTGCAGAGGCTCACATCTGTAATCCCAACACTTTGGGAGGCTGAGGCAGGAGGATTGCTTGAAGCCAGGAGTTCGAGACCAGCCTAGGCAACACAGGGAAAACCCATCTCTATAAAACAATAAATAAAAATTAGTCAGGCATGATGGCAGATGCCTGTGGTCCCAGCTACTCAGGAGGCTGAGGCAAGAGGATGGCTTGAGTACAGGAGTTTCGGGTTAGAGTGAGTATGATTGTACTACTGCAATCCAGCTTGGGCAGCAGAGTGAGACCCCACATATTAAGAAAGAACGATCCAACATAATGAAAGGTGAAGGTTATGAATCATTCCCACTCCTTAAAATTGTTCCATAGATTAAAGGCCTCCATGTCTCTATGTCAGTCTGCAAGTGCTTTAGAGCAAGCTGAAGCAAAACAATGAAAATGAAACTTTTCTCATTTCCTTTCTCTACCTCAACATTTCCTCTCATGCTCTTTTTTTCTCCGCCTTCTTCTTTATTCTACCTCCTCTTCTCTCTCCATAATCCTCACAGAAAAGATCAGTTTAACAGAAAACTGAGTCCTAGTGTAATAATAATAATAATAATTATATATTATATAATATATAATATAATAATTATATATTATATAATATATAATATAATAATTATATATTATATAATATATAATATAATAATTATATATTATATAATGTATAATATAATAATTATATATTATATAATGTATAATATAATAATTATATATTATATAATGTATAATATAATAATTATATATTATATAATGTATAATATAATAATTATATATTATATAATATATATTATAATAATTATATATTATTATTATTATTTGAGATGGAGTTTCGCTCTTTCGCCCAGACTGGAGTAAAGTGGCACAATCTTGCCTCACTGCAACCTCTGCCCACCAGGTTCAAGCGATTCTCCTGCCTCAGCCTCCCGAGTAGCTGAGATTATAGGTGCCCACCACCACAGCCGGCTAATTTTTAGTAGAGATGGGGTTTCACCATGTTGGCCAGGCTAGTCTTGAGCTCTTGACCCCAGGTGATCCACCCGCCTTGGCCTCCCAAAGTGCTGGATTACGGGTGTGAGCTACAGTGCCCGGCCCTAGTGCCATTTAATAACTTGCCCCAAATCTCAGTAAGTGACAGAGCTGGGACTTGTACCTAGCTTGTTCTGCGTCCAAACCACACATTCAAAATTATTTCTTCACCTCTTAGATTCCGGACCTTTTATCCAATTTTGTCATTTTTTTGGATGGCGATATCAAACTCTAGTTACTGAATTACTGAAGGGTCCGATTTAGTATTAGCTTGAGAATTGCTGACATATGAGCCTAAATATTTCACAAAGCCTACTGCCAATGCATTCAAGCAGCCTTTGATAAAATGGTATCATATTTTTTTAACATGATTCTTCAAAGATAAAAATTTATGTGAACAGAATCCACAGGTTTGTCATGTCTGTGTCTAATGCCATTTCTTTCAGAAATTTCCTGGAATAAGAAACATGATCCTTACAGAATAACTTACACAAAATCCAGAGGCTTCTCAGATCATCCAAGTTCAGGAAAGTTAGTAAGGCCCCACTTGAACTAGGGACTGAAGAATAAATCACTATTGGATTGAAGGCAGCTAGATTCTTCTGAGGACAACATAGCCTCTCATCTCTAGTTCTCTTTCTTTCTCTTTATCTCCCTCTCTCTGCCTCATCTCTCCTTTCTTCTCTCTGCTGTCATCTTTCATTTCTCTCCACAATTAATTCCCTTTGCTTTTTTCTGCTTTGCCATCACAGGACCAAATATGACTGCCACAAATATGGCTTCACATCACCTCTGATTTCAAAAGAGAGCCTGACTGAACAAGGTGAAACTGGATGCCAAATTTCTAGGAGAAAGAACGTGTGGACCCTCCTTGGGAGGAAAGCTTTGCCTCTGATCCAAATACTAGTAGGTGGGGTTAGGGTCATATGACCCTCCACCCAACTTGCTGAGGCATTCTTGGCCAACTAAGGAGGCAGCATGGGCTTCCAAAATAGGGGCAACGGTTTGGGGCAGAGATGGTTGGGTTCCTCGGGTCCAGTGTTGTCAGGCGTAGGTGTACAGATAAGATGTGGTACTCAAGAGCTCCTAGAGTAAAGGCTAGGATAACATGAGACAGAGTAATTGAAATATAGTTGGACAAATGTATTAATACGGGAATTCTCATTCTCATGCCTTAATACTTAAACCAATTTAAGAGTACAAGGTCATTGCCTTCACAATTGACTTTATTCCTTCTCCATCTTTGACAGATGCATTTCTGAGGAAATAGGAGAATGACAGAAAGAAAGCAGGTCAATTAGAGGCTGGTGGGGAAAAAAAAAACAGAAGTTGAATGGAATACATAACATAGACTGGGGGTGGGGGAGAGAGTGAGAGATGGGGAAACAGAGGAATAACGTAAGGGAAGAAAAGACCTCAGGTCAGTGTAGGTCTAAAGAGAAAATACATGTGTTGGTGGATGCTATTAATTGAATTGTCTTAAAAAATCTGAACTTCCTAATGAAGGATTGGATTGTTTTTGATGAACTGTGCTATAATTGATGCTAAACTCTCTGGATCTAGGATTCACAAAATAAGGATCTGACAAAAGGAAATTGCTATGGCTATCTTCAAATTTAAAGAAGAAATATTTGTCTTAGGAAAAGTTAAATACTTCAAGGAATTGGTGGACTTTTATTTAAGCTTTGGTGTTCAGGGATGTGGATTCTAGAACTAGTTATGTTAGAGATGGCAAAAAGAAGTTGTGGGATGGGGTAGTATTGAATCCCTTCCACATCCAAAGTGCTAAATAGACTTTGGATGCAGTTAATTTTCCCCCAGTTCTGAGATCCTTAAGCTCATTTTTGGACAAGGAACTGAAGCTTGTTTTAATGTTATGTCCCCCAGCTCAAAAGTGGCCAGGTGTTAACTGAAATCCTCCTAATTCCAAGAGCCATGGTTATTCCAGTTTACCAGCCTTTCTCTCTGATATAAGATAAAAACAAATTTGTTTATTGTGTTATGTTTATTTTTAAGATATAATTAGTCAAAATTTGGTCTACTTCTTACATAGTTGATATTGTAACAAAGCGATGAGTCAGGGACTCTGATTGATATTCAGAAAGGTTCAATGTCATGGCTCATGACTGAAACCATAGTATAGAACTTTACAGTGTCCACATATTCTTAGCTCTTGACTTCCATCCTTGAAACAGAAAGGCCCTATTTTAAGTTATATAAACATAAAATTTTCCCTATACTATGTTTGGGAATGAATGTTCTTTTGTAAGGTTAAAGACCTTTGTAGAGTGTCAGAATGGAAAATTTGACATATGTTAGGGCATTCATGAGTTCCCCTTTCTGAAATAAAACCAACAACTTTTACAATAAGGCTAAGGTTCTTTCAGGGACATTTTGGAGAGTTTCCAAGAAAAATCCAAAGAACTGATCAAAAACCTGTAGAGAAGAATTAACCAAAGAGAATTTTTTAAAAGCATGACGTTTTTAGAAAAGAGGTTGAAACTCTGAGCTACCGAGTGACTGTCTAGGTCACATCCTTGTCCCAGCTGGTGACCTTAGACAAGAGACAAGCACTTTCAGTTTCCATGTCCTCATCTGTAACATAGAATAATACTATTATTATCACATAATGTTGCAGTGAGGTTTGAAATAATTAAAATATGAAAAGTACTTATACCATATCCTGGCATGTAGTAAGAGCTCTGTAATTGTGTTTATTGTCGTCATTCTCCTCTATTGCTTTTTTCCACCCCACATCTCCACTTTTTTTCTTTAAAGAGATTCTCAGGAAACTTGAGGCTATGTGATAGGGATCTGGAGAGGTGGAGATCCAGTCTGCTACCAAGCGTTTGAAGAAGTAGCTGAGAAAAGCATAGGGCAATGGTGGGAGATGTAATAAGGCCAAAACAGATGTAGTGAGCTTCCTGAAAATTGGGATCAGGAAGGAGAAAGGAACAATGAAAGGGAGGGAGAGAGGAAGAAGGGCAAGGAGGCAGAAAGAGATATCCTGGATAAACAATAGTGAAGAATGGTACATTCCTTGAGAGGCTACATGCTGAGTGGCTATATCACCCTAATGTATCATGATCATAATATATAAGCAAAACAGATTTTTTTTTAACCTCACTATGTTTTAGGGGAAAAAAACACAAGTAAAGCATCAAAACTATAGTTTAATAGATAACATTGCTTAGATTGAGGCACAACTATTTTACACTAAAAACTTTTTAAAAATACATAATTTGATCATAGTGCAGAAGATGTTTAAACGACCCAAGTTTGCAGAACATAGATGGAGTAGTTAAGAAAACATCGGCCGGGCACAGTGGCTCATGCCTGTAATCCAGCACTTTGGGAGGCCGAGGCAGGCGGATCACTTGAGGTCAGAAGTTCTAGACCAGCCTGGCCAACATGGTGAAACCCTGTCTCTACTAAAAATACAAAAATTATCTGGGCATGGTGGCACATGCCTGTAATCCCAGCTGCTGGGGAGGCTGAGGCAGGAGAATCACTTGAACCTGGGAGGCAGAGGTTGCAGTGAGCTGAGATCACACCACTGTACTCCAGTCTGGGCGAAGAAGCAAGGCTCTGTTTCAAAAAAATAAATAAAAAGAAAAGAAAGAAAAAGAAAGAAAAGAGAACATTTCGGCCATCTGCCATCTGACAGTCTTAGGTTTGAACCCCTACATGAACCCTTGCTTGCTGGGTAAATCTATTTAAGTTACACCATTTCATAAAATCTCAGCGATCTCCTGCATAAAACGATTATATAAAATAAGCTAATATATTTAAATTGTGTATAATTATATAGTAGGTAGTTGCAAAGATTGAGATCTGGCATGTAAAGTATATGGAAAGTTCTCAGTGTCCTGCTGTCATTTCACAGCAGAATCCTCCTGCTCCTGGGGAGACCTGAGTCAAGGTTGCCTTCACCAAATCATTTTAAAGCAATTTCAAGGCTTTCAGTCTGCAAAAGCAGCATTTTCCTTGGGGTCAGAGTTGCTTGGAGAAAACTTTCCAGGGCTGCATGAAACCCAGCCCTGGCTGGGTATTAGAGGCATCTCCTGCTCTGCACAGCCAAACCAGGTCAGGCCACCTACATGGCCTGGCATCCCTGTGTGGCGAGCATAATCCATTAGCTTCCTGACACCGGCAATGGGCCTCTGGGATCCTGTGTGACTCACTCCCCACTGCAGTTTCATCATAACTTGTAGAAGCTTGAATTTCAACACCTGCTTGACTCACAAATGAGCAGGAGCTGCTGCTTTTGCCCTCAGCTAGAAGTATAGCTAGAGAACAACTTTTGGAGATTCCTTGTATCTGACCCTTTAGGGTAGGCTTGCAGAAGCCCTAACTTGAAGTAAGGATAATAATATTGACTTGTTTGCCCAAAGCCTCCATAAGTCTAGAGTTCACAAGAAAATATTTGCTTTCTCATTTCCTACTCTTCTGCTGAAATAATCAAAAGAAAAAGGTCACTGTGGTCTTGGACACTGTGTCCTTTCATCACTGTTAACATTGCAATTAAGGATACCTTGATTTGAAAAAAAATATTTTATCGATTGATTGACTGATTGAGACAGAGTCTCACTCTGTCACCCAAGCTATGTTGCAGTGGTGCAATCTTGTCTCACTGCAACCCCTGCTTCTAGGTTCAAGCAATTCTCCTGCCTCAGCCTCCCGAGTAGCTGGGACTACAGGTGCATGCCACCATGCCCAGCAAATTTTTGTATTTTTAGTACAGACAGGCTTTCACCATGTTGGCCACACTGGTCTCAAACTCCTGACTTCGGGTGACCTGCCTGCCTTGGCCTCCCAAAGTGCTGGCATTACAGGCGTGAGCCATCACTCCTGGCAAAAGAAAAAGGAAAAAAAAATATTACATTTCACATTTCATAAACAACACATTTTCTCCAATTATACAATGTAATATACCATAAACAATTGTGGCATTAAATCCTATGAGTGTCAGATATACAAAATTAATGATATTTATGGAACACATGAATAAAGAATGACACTATTCTATTTTTATAAAAAAATAAATTTACATATTAGATGCTATGTGAAAGAGCTGTATAATCATCATAAAATTAAATAATTATGTTATCTCCAGCTTACACACATGCAAATGGAAGATCTGAATCTGTTTAATTCCAAAGACCTGCTTTTTCTACTGTGACATCAAAATAGCCATTATCAAAATACTAGTAATTTGGTGGTCTTATTAAGTGATATACATGCCAGGAAAGTTAAAAAAAAAAATTGAGATTTGACTGTTTGCAGGCATCGCTGGATTCTCATTATTCTTAATCTTTTAAGAATGTCATGGAATGAAAAAGTGGGAAAGGACCCAGGTATCATTTAGTCCAATGATTATGATTCAGCTGTCCTGGGTGTTGTCCAGAAACTGACTTGTTTTTTTTTTTTGTTTTATTGTTGTTGTTTTTAACTTTGCCAATTGATGTTTGACCAAATTTAAGGCCATAAACAGGCCTCAGAGCAACAGTCTCAAAGCTGTTCTCTAATCATCATCGTCATCATCAGCAGCCGCAGCAGCTAGAAACTTGTTAGAAATGCAACTTTCTTGGGATTCACCCCAGAATGCTTGAACTAGTAATTCCAGGAGTGTTGCCAACAACCTGTGTTTTCTCAAGCACCATACATTATTCTTAAGCATGCTCAAATTTGAGAATCACTGCCAGAGAGTATAAGGAACAATAGGAATATAAGAGGAGAAGAAGTGGAGGTGACGCTCATTGATCTTCTCTAGAATGCCCTGGTGACAACAAGGCAACAGAAGACACACATCTTGCTTCCTCTTTCTCCTCTAAAGTCAGTAGAAAACAATCCTGTAAGTGTCTACTTCCCTATCCAGGGATCTACTCCCTCCCTCTTCCCAGTGTTACAGAGATTTTAACTGTATATATACTTGAAGAAGAGGTTTTAGATTAAAAATGCCTATTTTCAAATAATTAAACCAGATTTTTAATGTTCCCAGCACAAAAAAAAATGATAAATGTTTGAGTCGATGGATGTGCTAATTGAGTTGATAGCTATGCCTTGATTTGATCATTATACCATTATACAATGTATACATGCATTGAAATATACTATACCTCATAAATATGTACAACTTTGGGGCATCAATTAACACTACTAATAAAGCAAAAAAAAAAAAAGATGCTTAGCTACTCCTGTTTTTTATCTGGCTCATAAAGCCAGTGATGGAAGGAAAAAGACAAAGTGTTCATGGTGTGGTTCTGGAAAGATTTTGGACTGACTTGGATTTGAGTCTTGGCTCAGCCACTTAGTGTAGTAACCTAGGCAAGCTGTCCGACCTCTCTGAGCCTTGTTAGATAGGGACACTGTGATCTGCCTGACAGCTACAGTACCTTGGTGTCTTTTTCAAGGATGGGTATTTCTCATTGTACCATGAGGAATGGGCCAGGGAAATTTACCTCATGGCTTCTGCTTCATTTCAACATCCACATGGTAATTATGAGACAGCCTCAAACTCAGTGATCTGAAGTCCATCCTGAGCTTCCGTAGAACTTCTATGGACTTTGCCCTTATGTCAAACAGTACCCACCAACACAGACTTATACATTCTTTTACTTAAAGTGCTTGAAGCATGCTCAAATCAATGCAGGTAAAAGATTAACTAAAAAAAAAAAAAAAAAAAAAACTCTTGGGTCTAACTCTACTCATCCCTTGTGACACCCAAGATGGGTGGAGGAGGAGGATCATACACCATATCTTAGGTTTCTGAAGTTTATCCATATGGACCATCCTCCATCCTCTAATGCCCTATAGTTCTCTAATCTTCTCCTGCCTCTTCTTTCATCTACTCTTATTTAAGAACACTTTTCTTCTTCCCCAGAGAAACTCAACTTCTCATGAACTGAGAAAGGACTCCTGGCCATTTTGTAATCTTTGAATCAGGTAAATCCTATCATGTCCAGCCTGAACACCATGCTAATGGAGTGCAGACTCTGCCCAGACTTCTAGGGCTTTGTAGAGTGTGGTCCTGCATGGTGGAAAGAGTGCAAAAGCTACACATGCAGTCAAGTCTCTGCCCATTCATGGTTGTGGTCAGATTCTTCCTGAAATTTTGAGGAAGAGACTGATCTAGACAGAGTCAACATTTCTTTGCTCAGAAGACAATACAGTCTATTTCCAAATAAGAAAAGTATGTTCCTGGTATTAATGTGATTTTGACCACTCCCCCCTCTTAACTCTGATATTATTGAGTTACTCTGGCTGTGTCCCAGACCCCTGGGGGGAATTTTCAATAGTACCAGTGTGCCCTCCACAGCCCAATCAAATCAGAATGTCTCGGGGTGTGGAATCTTAGCATGAGAGCTATTTAAAAAGCTCCCCAGGTGACTTTAAAATGTAGCAGGATTTGGGAAGCCATTAAAGTAGAACATTAGTCTACTTCCCAGCCTGCTTTTATGGCAAGACCTCCAAAAGAAGCTGAGAAAAGTCCTGATTAACTCATTTATCTCTGAGTACATTCTCGCTAACCTCCCAAATTCATCACGTAGAAGGATAGGATGGAGCAAACACCTAACACTTTGCATCAATTAAAGTTGTTCAGATTAAGTAAATTATGTATATCAGGGACACCAGCACCAGCATATCTTGCATATAATTGGTAAAGAATAAATTATGTATTTCCATCTTTTCCTCTAGCTCTCCATAAGAAAGAAAAAAGAAAATGACTTAGCATTGACAAGGCATTGCAAGGACTTTGGAGCCACTTCAGAATTGAGTTCAACTTCAGACTGACAGTTTTTTTTCTTTGTTTTGTTTTTTAATTATTATTTTTATTTATTTTTATTATTAAGCTTTAAGTTCTAGGGTACATGTGCACAATGTGTAGGTTTGTTACATATGTATATATGTTCCATGTTGGTGTGCTGCACCAATTAACTCATCATTTATTTTAGGTATATCTCATAATGCTATCCCTCCCCACTCCCCCCACCCCACAACAGGCCCCAGTATGTGATGTTCCCCTTCCTGTGACCAAGTGTTCTCACTGTTCAATTCCCACCTATGAGTGAGAACATGCTGTGTTTGGTTTTTTGTCCTTGAGATAGTTTGCTGAGAATGATGGTTTCCAGCTTCATCCATGTCCCTACAAAGGACATGAACTCATCCTTTTTTATGGCTGCATAGTATTCCATGGTGTATATGTGCCGCATTTTCTTAATCTAGTCTATCATTGATGGACATTTTGTTTGGTTCCAAGTCTTTGCTATTGTGAATAGTGCTGCAATAAACACACATGTGCATGTGTCTTTATGACTTATAATCCTTTGGGTGTATAGCCAGTAATGGGATGGCTGGGTCAAATGGTATTTCTAGTTCTAGATCCTTGAGGAATCGCCACACTGTCTTCCACAATGGTTGAACTAGTTTACAGTCCCACCAACAGTGTAAAAGTGTTCCTATTTCTCCACATCCTCTCCAGCACCTGTTGTTTCCTGATTTTTTAATGATCGCCATTCTAACCGGTGTGAGATGGTATCTCATTGTGGTTTTGATTTGCATTTCTCTGATGGCCAGTGATGATGAGCATTTTTTCATGTGTCTTTTGGCTGCATAAATGTCTTCTTTTGAGAAGTGTCTGTTCATATCCTTCGCCCACTTGTTGATGGGGTTGTTTCTTTTCTTGTAAATTTGTTTGAGTTCATTGTAGATTCTGGATATTAGCCCTTTGTCAGATGAATACATTGCAAAAATTTTCTCCCATTCTGTATGTTGCCTGTTCACTCTGATGGTGGTTTCTTTTGCTGTGAAGAAGCTCTTGAGTTTAATTAGATCCTATTTGTCAATTTTGGCCTTTGTTGCCATTGCTTTTGGTGTTTTAGACATGAAGTCCTTGCCCATGCCTATGTCCTGAATGGTATTGCCTAGGTTTTCTTTTAGGGTTTTTATGGTTTTAGATCTAACATTTAAGTCTTTAATCCATCTTGAGTTAATTTTTGTATGAGGTGTAAGGAAGGGATCCAGTTTCAGCTTTCTACATATGGCTAGCCAGTTTTCCCAGCACCATTTGTTAAATAGGGAATCCTTTCCCCATGTCTTGTTTTGTCAGGGTTTTTTTTGTTTTGTTTTCTGTTTTTTTTTTTTTTTTTTTGCGGGGTGGGGCTGAAGAATGCTTTAATACAACTACTTCATATGATAAAATGAGTCAATCCACTTGAAAATGTCAGACATAAAGGGGAAGCTTGATAAATATTGGTAACGCTCCTCTATGTGTTCTGTTTTTTAGCATTGAGGTTACGGCTAAGTTGCCTGAAACAGTCAATGCTAAGACTTTCATTTGCTATGGATTTAACATCTTCCAGAATACTAACAAATGCCACTTCCCCCTGGTTATTTGTGATGGTTCAAATTCTTGTTTATCTAAGCTGCCAGCCAGTGCTTTTAACACTTCCTAATAATCACAGCCTATGCATTCACATTAAGGGCTCTGAAATGGCTGCTTCTTTCCTCAGAGGTCCACTGTACATGTTGGTAAATCAGTCTTCATAGAGCCGAGACCAGGCTACTGGGAGGGGTTTCATTTTCAAATTTTCCAGGTTACTCCCTCAAAGAACAGTCAGTGTTCCTCACAGATGTCTGTATTAACAAACTTTTATTTCCCTTCTTCCAGTAGACCACCTGCACAATGACATTCATCTAATTAAAGAGATTCTAAATATCCACTGAAACATTCAGTATTGTCTTAGTTCTTATTTCCCCTCTGACTCTGAATCTTGAACATTTGCAGTCATGCTTGCCATGACCAGGCAGAAGTTATATCAGCAAATATTATTGCAATAATTTTTAGGTTTCATTTTTTCTCAACTCTTAGATTATCCATCATTTTCCTTTTAATTTCTGACAAAATTCCTTGGAAGTATTTAAGACCTTGCTGGATTTGTCATTAGTCTGCAACCCAAATCTACATACATCCAGGCACCTCAGGAATTGGAAGAGTTTTGTGCTTTCCATTTCAACTGACCACTGAAATTGTGGTCATTCTTCAAGATGCTCTTTATTTGCATCCAAAAGCATTTCCTCTTAGTTTCCAGTGGGGATTTTCCCCTCCCTTGTCTGATTGCACACTTATCCTAGGGACTATCTCATTCTCACTCTAACTTAGTTGTTTCAATGCTAACATATCTTCCTGGCTAAACTAGAAAATTATTAGACTGAGATTGTGCCTATTAGTGTCTGTATGTCTCAGACCTTGGTACAAGCTAAGGATATGCTCTATAAAGCTCATTGAATTGGATTTTCCAAATATGAATGATTTTTTTTTCACAACAACATCATCACCATGAATTTAAAGCTAAATATTAGTTGCAACTAAAGAATGCTCTACTCCCTATAAACTTACTGATCCTTCTCAGTAAGTCCAGATTTGGCGTACTTCTCCCCTTGATCTCTTCCTAAAGATCTTTCTATTCCTTCTCAGTTGCTTTTGGAGACTCTCCTTCTCCCTTTTTTAAATCAATTTCAATTATTTTTTAGTTTTGAATTATAGTTTCTTTATTCACTACTCACTTTCCCTGGGCACCATCGTCTATTGCTAAGATTTTAATTATGCAAACTGATACCTCCAAACTCTATATCTCCAGCCTTCATCTCTTCTCTGAATTCCACAAACTGTTCTAGGGCCTGGAATAGAGCAAATGCTCCTGTAAGTGTTTTATGAATGAATGAATTGTAGCTTATGTGGCTACCCAATCTTAGAAGGCTTTAAAAAGTCAGATGAAAGTTCAGACTTATGCTTCACAGCAGCATTGTTCAATTAAAAAATAATGCAAGCCACATATTTAATTTTGAGTTTTCTAGTAGTCACATTTAAAAAGCAAAATAAATAGGTAAAATAAATTTTAATGTATTTGAATTCAATATATCTAAAATTGTATTATTTGAATTTGTAATCTGTATGAAATGTTATTTGTATAATATTCTTTTTCATATTTTTTTACTTTCTATGTGCATTTTGCACTTACAGCTCATCTAGATTCAGATGCCAAATTCAGTTCCTCCATCACACTAACTACATTTTTAGTGCTCGTTAGCCTCATGTGGCTATTGACTACGGTATTAGACAGCGCAGCCATAGGGAATGGAAGTCACTGCAGGTTTTAGAGTAGGAAATAAATACAAAAAGATGAGGCTTTTGAAATCAGTTAAAAACATATTCTATCCTTACTTATCTGGTGTCATTAATCTTTTCTGTTTGTTAAACAGATATTTAGATATTTAGCTATCTTTTGCAATATCGCAAAAAGACTGCACCATTAGGAAAAAGTGGTAATCATTAAACAACCTGTAAACTTAAATATTTTTAAAGGATCTGCCTATTTGTGGCTGATTTCTCTCATGGATTTAAACACCAAGATTCAACTCCTCTCCTCATTGAATCCATTTGACCCTTGTATTTTATTACTATCTATTTTCATGTATATAATTTAATATACTCAGAGTCTGTCTGTCTTGTAAATTTAAGTCAATTCTTTCACTTCTTATTTTTCTCCTTCTCACAGTCATTGTCCATCACATCTTATAAGAGGTTGGAGAGGAAATTGAGAACCAATATGAATTGATCTGACCTGATTATGGAAAGACATATTGCAGTCTAAAATAATAAAGAAAAAATCGTGTCATATAAAGTGAGTGTGTTTCTTGCTAGATTTGCTGCCACACAACCTCAATAAAAATGGCCTTTTCTCTTGCTAAATAGTATTGGGATTGAGGCAG
This sequence comes from Homo sapiens, assembly GCF_000001405.40. Lineage (NCBI taxonomy): Eukaryota > Metazoa > Chordata > Mammalia > Primates > Hominidae > Homo > Homo sapiens. The sequence continues at coordinate 64,153,953 of NC_000016.10, read as the reverse complement.
TGACTCAGAAGCATCTGAGACTCTTCCTGAGGTTTGGTCATGCTAGTCACAGGCATGCAAAATGCCTCCGGCCTTCAGCTTACCTCCTGGTTTTTGACCTTGGCTTTGTCCTCAGTCCCACATGTCAGATCAAGAAAACCAGGCAACAGCCTGAAGGAGGCAAGGTGTGTAATATAAATACAATGAAATCTCTGCCCAGATAACTCCTATCGATCCTCAGGGGCTTTGAGCTACTTGCCACATTGAATTTTTTTTCAAGGCGTGCTGACTGCACACAGATTTCACTGGATTTATATGACGTTTTTAAGCCACTAGGATACCAATTAACAAAGCACTAATACAGTACAAGACCGAGTGGCCTGAAATAACTAATGCAGCTTTGTGAAGGCCTAAATCCTGAGGAAGATTTTAACCTCCAGCGTAAACCAGCTGGTTAAAGGATCTGGGGCTGCTGACCCTCTCTACAAGAATGAAAATGGAGGTACAATTGATCTGGCTCCTTTTCTTTTCTCCTCCTTGCCCATTGGCATCCTTTTGAATATCAGCCACCTTTTGCCTATTTCCGATGAAATTTGGAAAAGGGAAATGGAGTGAAATATAAGCCCCAAGCCTTGAACATCAGTGTGAGATTTAGAGAAAGTAGATGGCACCTCCGAGGGTAAGGGCGGCGTTCTAGTCTTCCAATATCCTGTCAACAAAAAAGCAAGAATTCCACGGCTTTTTCAAATTAATCATTGCTTTAACTTGCACTTAGTCATAACTACTATCTCACTGAGAAGAATTTTCACTCATAAATAGGATTTTCCATGCCTGTTTGGGGCTATGAATTGTCTTATCACTACATCTGAGGCAAAGTAGGCAATAGCTAGGAAATGAGATGAACAGAATTTTGGGTGAGGGTAGCTGTTACTATTGAAAGGACAATAATGTGGCTATTCTGATACGTCAGGAGTGGTAGTGAAAGGAAGTCAAAGACAGGCAGTTTTTACCTCAGCATACAAAAAGGAAATCTGAAAAGTGAGCATCTCTGCCTTTATACCCTTCCCATGTCAAAAATTAATAAACAGCCTTTAAAAAGGGAGATCAATGCAATCACTCAGGAAGAGATTGGACATCTATATTTGGGAAATATTAGAGGGAATTTAAGCATCATAAGGGACTGGCAATGAGAAAAAAAAAAGTTGCGTCCCTTTTAAGCCTGGAATTATGAGATCCTGTGTTTAGCGAGATCGCTTGCTATAGAAATCCTAAGCCAACTTGTTTCATAGTTGGAGAATCTTTTAAGGGAGAAGGCCCGTTGGTGACATTGATAACATGTGGGCAGCAATCCCTGTTTGGAAAAGTCTAGTGGAGACAGTGTAGTATGACATGGGACTGAGGACGTTAGCAAAATGCTTATGGAATCTCTGAATCAGTGGCATGTTAAAGAAGAGTCATCAGGTGACTCTCAAAAATAGCTCTGCACTTTAGATATTCTAATACAGAAATAACTATGTGGTCTGAAATAGTACATGAAAACACAGAAATAGCACTATTGATGGGTCCTGCCTGCAATGGAAACAGAACAAATTAAGGTTGGCAGGGGAAATACTCCTTTTTTAGAGCCATCAGCATCTGCTCAATCAGATGACCTAATAAAAACAACACACAGATGCATTTTATGGCCTGGGGGTGTTTTCTGGGGAATGAATTAGATGCAGCTAATGAAGGCCAGACAGTCAACTTAATGCCTGGGCTGGCCCTGAGTGGCACGCCAGGCCAAGAAAAGCTCAATAACTACATGGCAAAGAGAACAGATGAGTTCTGTAATTGGCAAAAGGGAAATGTACTGGGGGCAGCATTGGAGTTGGCTGAATTGCATAACACACATTTCAGCATGTTCTTGCTCACACATTCTGTGGTGCTAGGATTCAGGAGGGTGATTCTATGTTGCACTGAAGAAAAATGTTAGGGTTTGGTAACATCTTCCAAATTTCCACACCATCGCTGAATCAATTTCCAAGATATATTTGACAAGTGGTTATGTCTGTGCTTGGCTATGTATATCAATATTCAATTTTAAATTTAACAACTGTTCATTGAGTGTCTACTTTGAGTTTGCCTAACCTCAGAGTGGGGGATATAATTAACATTTTCTACTCCCTAGGTAGCTTAAAATAATTGAGAAAGACAAAAACAAAACACATAAAAAAAAGCCAAGTAAGCAATCCCCAGACAAGTAAATAAATTAGTATAGCAAAGACACCTAAGATCTGTGAAAGAAAGTGTCTGAAATACAGAATGAGATGGACTCCTTAAGGTGTCATTTGACTTCAGACTATGGGATGATAAGGTATTGGGGAGTCATTGTGAGAGCATCCTAAGGATGTATACTTCTATTTGTGAGACTTTTTTTTTCTTGTTAAACTTTTCTTAGTTCAGCAAGCTTTGCATTAAATGAGTATATTCAATGAGTCAAATGCTATCCTAGGTAAAAGAGACATAGTCCTTCTCTTTTAAGGGTTTGCAATCCACTCTTGGAAAAGACTTAAAATCCAACATCATACACTATAACACGTTCCATATTAGAATTTTATGTCAGACATAGATTTAGCACAGTTGATGGTAGGGTTCATCTTTTCCCTAAATATTTAATAGAAAAAATAATGTCCAACTAGTGTATGGCAAAATAAAGTAAAATAAAGGAGGTGGGGTATAACCCAGCATCTGCAAAGAAAAACATTTCAGGGTAACTGGAAGTGGTGTGGAAAATTAAAGATAGAATGGGGGAGGTAGAGATGAGAAGTAATTTGGCCAGAGAGAAAAGTCAGACGTTATATAACAAGATAATATAAAAGGGGCTTGGAATCTATCTTATAGGTGATAAGAAGACTTTGAAAAGTTAAAACAGAAGAGTGAAATAATGATAATGATGACAGGAACAAGAGGATGAGAAGGTAAAAAAAGAACAGTTACTGAGCACCTCGTATATGAGAGAACTTTTTATTGAACTTCACTTGTAGTAACTCAATTTTTATAAAAACCATCTGAAAAAAAACAGAGGTATTTAAAATGTTTCTGAGATAGCACAGCTTAGCAGAGCCAATGTTTAGACCAAATGGTCTTTCTCTAGAGTTTGTGTCCTATATAATGTTGCCGCTATACTCACATGACCCTGTTCATCATATGTTTAGGAGTCACCTAGAAGACCATGTATATTCATTGTATGTTTAAGATTCACATCAAATACTATGTTAATGATGGGGTTGTAGGAACATTGCAATCGTTCAATTATAAAAATTAATAAATATCCAGACTTTATGTTTCTTCTATGTAGTAGTTTTAGTGTATCCAATTAAATTACACACTATTCTTTCTGCAGCCTTTGGATGTTAGAAAAATCCCTTCCTGGATTTTCTCCAGTACACCCATCCTTAGTTTAAACAACTATTTTTCATATGTTGTCTCTGTATGTATATACTCGCTGTTGTAGTCATTGTTCATCGTTTCTTCAAATGGTGCAGATTGTAATATCACCTCTGTTGCTGCCTAGGATGTTGTCCAAATTTCTAAATTATGACTCATTCATGTATAAGGTCAATCACTCCTAGTTGTAATATACAGCATGGGCTGTCAACTTAGTCTTCCTTGTGGTAATTTGTGAAGTATGAATATGTGCGAAATAGTCTGTAGGTCTCTCTTGAATAAGAGACAGCAATGCCTTCAAGATATTCTCACTGTCCTTCCCTCTTTTCACCTTACAGAAAATGCTTTTGGTCTCATGAAAACATATGACAGATGTTCAAGAAATATACATTATCTCAATCTGGTTGTATCTATTGAACATATTTGACACTGCATATATATTAGGAATTTTGGGTCCGTTTCAAGTGTCAGAAATGCAACTCACATTAGCATAAGAATGTTTATTGGAACATTCTAGAAGAGCTCACATTTTCACTCTGAACGCACTTCCTTTTCAACTCATCTCAGAGATTCTTGCATTATGTGATGAAGTTCCACATTTTACACCACAGTGTCACCCAGCTGAATGAGTGTTCCTGTGGGCTGACTGTGGTTTAAAGACCATTTTGGACTTCCCACTACAAAGTAAAAACTGTACATAATAGAATATCAAGAACTAGAATTAGGTACTCAGACCTGTCTCCATCTCTCTGTCTGCCTCTCTCTCTTTTTTTTTTTTTTTTTTTTACAGGAGTAAAACATTTTATTAGAAATATTTTCTTTTTTTATTATTATTATACTTAAAGTTTTAGGGTACATGTGCACAATGTGCAGGTTAGTTACATATATATACATGTGCCATGCTGGTGCGCTGCACCCACTAACTTGTCATCTAGCATTGGGTATATCTCCCAATGCTATCCCTCCCCCCTCCCCACACCCCACAACAGTCCCCAGAGTGTGATGTTCCCCTTCCTGTGTCCATGTGTTCTCATTGTTCAATTCCCACCTATGAATGAGAATATGCGGTGTTTGGTTTTTTGTTCTTGTGATAGTTTACTGAGAATGATGATTTCCAATTTCATCCATGTCCCTACAAAGGACATGAACTCATCATTTTTTATGGCTGCATAATATTCCATGGTGTATATGTGCCACATTTTCTTAATCCAGTCTATCATTGTTGGACATTTGGGTTGGTTCCAAGTCTTTGCTATTGTGAATAATGCCTCAATAAACATACGTGTGCATGTGTCTTTATAGCAGCATGATTTATAGTCCTTTGGGTATATACCCAGTAATAGGATGGCTGGGTCAAATGGTATTTCTAGTTCTATATCCCTGAGGAATTGCCACACTGACTTCCACAATGTTTGAACTAGTTTACAGTCCCACCAACAGTGTAAAAGTGTTCCTATTTCTCCACATCCTCTCCAGCACCTGTTGTTTCCTGACTTTTTAATGATTGCCATTCTAACTGGTGTGAGATGGCATCTCATTGTGGTTTTGATTTGCATTTCTATGATGGCCAGTGATGGTGAGCATTTTTTCATGTGTTTTTTGGCTGCATAAATGTCTTCTTTTGAGAAGTGTCTGTTCATGTCCTTTGCCCACTTTTTGATGGGGTTGTTTGTTTTTTTCTTGTAAATTTGTTTGAGTTCATTGTAGATTCTGGATATTAGCCCCTTTGTCAGATGAGTAGGTTGTGAAAATTTTCTCCCATTTTGTAGGTTGCCTGTTCACTCTGATGGTAGTTTCTTTTGCTGTGCAGAAGCTCTTTAGTTTAATTAGATCCCATTTGTCGAGTTTGGCTTTTGTTGCCATTGCTTTTGGTTTTTTTGTTTGTGCTTCTATTGAGCTCATCTTCTTCTAAAGCAGAAAAGACCCAACCTCTCTATGTGATGGAGAGGAGTTCTACCAACATCCATAAATCTTGTCCCTTTGGCATGTAATCCAAGAGGCAACAGCTCCACTCACTTGCAAATTGATGTCTAATTGATTTATGTTGGTTTCTGTACTCCATCCACTTGGGATGGGGCACACTAATTGACAAAGAGGACACCATCAATAAGAGGGATTTCTCAACAGGTGATGGTGCAGTTATAAAAACAATGGTAATGAGAAAATGATTTCTGTGGAGAAAAGAAGGTAGGAAGATAGGAAAGAAAGAAGGAAGGGAAGGAAGGAGGGAAAGAAGGAATGAAGGAAGAAAAGAAAGAGAAGGAAGGAAGGGAAGGAAGGAGGGAAAGAAGGAATGAAGGAAGAAAAGAAAGAAAAAGGAAGGGAAGGAAGAAATGGAGGGAAGGGAAGGAAGGAAGGGAAGGGGGAAGGGAAGGAAGAAATGGAGTGGAGGAGAAAAGGAAGAAAAACAGTTGCCATCATTCACAATCATTTTGGAAGAGTTTGACATGATCTAGTAACTTTGTACATGTTTAATCTTTGATCCATCATTCCTAACGACATCCTTTCGAGAAAGTTTTGCACCTATACGACAGTATATGTACATGAATGCTCATAACAATTTCTATAATGGCCAAGCAAGGGCCAAAAGATTCATCAGCAGTAGAATGTGTGAATAAATGTTGATATATTTACATAAATTTGGTATAAGATAGCATTGAAAATGAATAACTTTAGTTACCTATCACAAAATAACTCTCGTTTACTTTAGACTGGCAAAAGAAGGAAGGCATAGAGTATAAATATATAAAGATTCCACTTATGTAAAGTTTAAAATAGTAAAATGTATACTATATTAGTAGATTAATAAATCACTTATAGATAATATACAACCAATATACTATTTGTTTATCATTGATAAATCAAGAAAGAAAAAAATAAATTATTACAAAATTCATGATGATGTTTACTTTTATCGGGAAGCAATGAGTCTATCAGGTAAAAGTATATGAGAACTTCCAATAATCAATTTCTTGACTTAAATAATGGTTATATAGAATTTTTTCATTATAATTATTTGTTAAACTACAAATGTATTCATCTACTTTTTGGTATATTTGTTGGACTTTGAAGAAAAAAGTGTAAGTTTCACTGCACATTCTTTTGAACATTGGCTTTTGAGTGAGAGATATTCATGAATTTTGCTCCATAGCATGTAAGTTAGGAGACATTGAGCAAGTTGTTTCATCTCTTTGTCCATAATTTTCTTGTCATATAATTAAAATAGTAAAATATGATGATGAAATAATAATAATACTAGCAATAAAAACCACAACAAAACAACATTAACAATATTCATGAAGTTCTAAGATCAAATATGTGAGTAAAATGCCTAATAATTTGGTTGGCATATAGTAAATATTCAACAGAATATGCATATTTTTTTCACTTTCTTTATGTTAATTGTAATTTAAAAGGAGTTAATCTGGATATTGCTTCTGTCCTGCTTTCTGATAAGAAGCCCCTATCTTTGAGTTCTTTTAAATAAAACATAAACCAAACTCATTGTTCATTTGGGTGTCAATAATATTTTAGGGACTGTGGTCATTCCTGGGGGTCAGATGCATTAAAAAAAAGTCTTGATATTTAATAAGTTCTTGGAATAGTCTGGATTTCTTGCTCATTGCCCACATACTTCTAGTACTAGGACATATAGAATATGTCTGTGTCAGTATTTTTCTGCAGTATTATCACATTGTCTTACAATTTTGTAAAATGCTTAAAATGAAAATATTTTGACCACAATTGATTAAGATCATTTCTCTTTCTGTTCTGACTTGTCCTGCATCACACTTTATCTCACGTCAGGTAGTATTAAACTCTCTGTTGTCATCCATCTAAGGGGAAATTGAATTGAGAATTTATTTAATTTATATATAAATAGAATGTATTTATGTGATTTACCATTGTGTCAGAATACAATTAGGCTAGTTTTGGCTTTCTATTATAGGAATAGCTTCCAGGAATATTCCTTATGCAAACTTTGCTGATTTGTCTGACATTACCCCACAAAGGTGAAGGGACAAATGCTATATCATAATATGAATGGAGCTTATGAATCCTAGCACTCAAAGTGTGTGGGCACGGGGGAGAGGAAAGGTTGTAAATATGTGGATCCAGAAGCTAGTCCATGAAATATTAAATTACTCAAACACTATAATACAAAATGGAAGTACAAAATTCAATTCTCACCAATGTCTGGTTAAATGAATCCTCTCTTCTATTAGGAATCTAGTATTAATATTTAAATATATAGAATGAAAAATAGGTAGACACATGGATAGATAATTTGGTATAAACCACATGGGATGCAATTTATTAGAATCCCTGAATCTGAGGATGAAAACAGGTAGCAGTATTCCATGCAGCAAGATGTTTACATTTGAAACTTCATGTTTTATACATCCCAAATATCAATTAAAAAATCAAATATGCTAGAATATATAATTGGTGATGTCTGTTCTTTCTATATAAAAATATTAACATATGTTATCTGAATAGATGTGTCATTGAATAAGATACATAAATGGTCATTCAGCACATGAAAAGATGCTCAACATCACTGATCATCAGGGAAATGCAAATCAAAACCACAATGAGATACTGCTTTACACCCACTATAATGATCAGAAAGACAAGACAATCACAAATTCTTGTGAGTATATGAAGATGTCAGAACCTTCACACACTGTTTGTGGGAGTAAAATTATACAGCAGCTTTTGAAAACCGTCTTACAGTCTCCTAAAGATGTTAAACATAGAGTTACCATATGGGCCAACAATTTCACTCCTAGGTATGTACCCAAGAGAAATAAAAACATATGTCTACACACAACGTGTACATGAATATTAATAGCAGCATTATGATAACAGCCAAAAAGTGGAAATAACCCAAATGTTTATAAGCTGATGAATGGCTTAAATAATGTGGTATTCTTATTTGGCAAAAAAAGAATGAAGAACTGATGCATGCTAAGTCATGGATGAATCTTAAAAATATTATGCTATGTGAAAGAAGCTAGTTACAAAAGACCACATATTGTATGATTCTATTTATATAAAAATGTGAAATAGGCAAATCTATAGTGGTTGCCCATGGACAGAGAAGTGGGGGAGATTTGGGAAGACAGTGCTAGTAGGTAGTGGATTTCTTTGGAGGGTGCTGAAGTTGTTCTAAAATTGATTATAATAATGGTTGTGTAACTTTGAGAACATAATAAAAACTATTGAATTGTATACATTAAATCGATATGACATATTAATTATATCTCACTGATGCTATCAAAAATATGTTATATAATGAGGTGGTCAAAGTACACAGATGAAATGGTAGGTAAAATTTTAAAGTAGTATTTAATGTATTATGCTACTTCATGGATTCAGTAATGTCAATAATATTTGTCAGTATATTAACCTTTTAGCTTTTAATGACTTATTTTCACATCCTAAAACTCATACTTCCTTACCTAATTTTTATTTTGCAATTTGAAAAGGAATCCAGATGATATAAGCTTCAGGTTGTACAAACTAGTTCTATTCCTTTTGAAAGTTTCTGAAGACTCTCAGCTGAGCTGGACATTAAAGAGAGGTAATATGTTTGTGACCTGGTATCCTAGGAAAATAATTACTACAGATCTGCATGTTTAAAAATTCCCACATATCTGAACAGGGCTGGAAAAAATTTCAGTTCTGAAAGTCAGAGCGAGAAAACCTCATTGAACCCTCAGAGTATTTAGTTGATCTGCCCCCCACCCTCTGACTCATTCCTGAGGATTAGAGAAAAGCTAGCAATAAAGTCTTGTCTGTGCAGTCCTTAAAAAAGCTTAAAAATAAATTTCAAAAGGATCGAGCTGATCTGCTTAATGAAAATTTACTGTTTACTGTCTGCCAGAACTAAATCAAAAGATTTTAAAGAAAAACAACAAAATCTAGCATTTAGAAACATAATACTCACAATATCCAGACAGAAAAAATATTTCAGACCAAAACTGAGAGAGTAATTTTTATAAAAGGACTTATATTTTAAAAATATTAAGAAAGTTCTTCATAATATGGAAAAATAGTCCAGTTGGCATATAAAAATAAAGCCCATCAGAAATGGTAAATAAGTGTGTAAATAAGAAAGTTTACCAAAACACTATAAGACACCTGAAGAAGGAATAACATATGACCAGTAACTAGGAGAAAAATCAGTCAATGGACACAGACACAGAAACGACAGGCACAGTATAACTAGAAGATAAGGATTTTAAAAGTTATGAATATATGCAATGATTAAAAATAAAACATAAATGTAAAGAAGAAAGAAATGCAAGCTATAAAGTAAATAGGTACTTGGAGAAATGAAAAATACTATATGTCAGATTAAAAATTCTTTAAATGCACTAAACTGAAGCTTAGATGCTGCAGAAGAAAATACTAGTTATGTAAAAAAAAAAAAAAAAAGAAAAAAGAAAAGAAAAAAGTGGAAGAAAAAATATAGAGCATCAGTGACTATTGGGACCATATGACCATATTAAGTGGTTTAACCTACATATATTTGAGGTACCAGGCAAAACGGAGAAGGAGATAAGGTTAAAAGTTTTCCAATTATAATTAATACTAAAATATCACACATCTAAGAGGCTCAGGAAAACCTATGAAGAATAAAAACAAAGAAGATTGCAGGAAGACACATTATATTCAGATTCATGAAAATCAAAGATTAGGCCGGGTGCAGTGGCTCATGCCTGTAATCCCAGCACTTTGGGAGGCCAAAGCAGGTGGATCACCTGAGGTCGGGAGTTCGAGACCAGCCTAACCAACATGGAGAAACCCCATCTCTACTAAAAATACAAAATTAGCCGGGGGTGGTGGTGTATGCCTGTAATCCTAGCTACTTGGGAGGCTGAGGCAGGAGAATTGCTTGAATCTGGGAGGCGGAGTTTGCAGTGAGCTGAGATCGTGCCATTGCACTCCAGCCTGGGCAACAAGAGCACAACTCTGTCTAAAACAAAAAATAAAAAAAAAATAAAATCAAAGATTAAGACAATATCTTATAAGAACCCAGAAAGAAGAAGAAAACATTTAGCACAGAATAAAAAGAAAAATTATAATCCTCTCAGAAACAGTTCATGATAATGGAAAAATGTATTTAAAATGCTAGAAGAAAAAAGGGTGTTCGAATTCTATAGTTCATTAAAATTGCCTTTAAAATTAAAGGCAAAACTAACAATTTCTTAGACAACAAAAGCTGAGAGAATTTTTTACCCAAGAGACTTTTTTTAAATTGCAAAAGTATGTCATCAGAATATTACAGAATATGGAAAAAATAATGCAGAAAGTATATGAAAGCAGGAAATAGGAATGAAGAACACAAAAGATGAATGTGGATGAATAAAACATAATTTTCCTCACTACAATTTTTTAAAATATAATTTTAGCATACAATGTTGCAGAAGTGTTTTTAAAAGTATTCAGATCTAATCTATGTAAAATTCACCCCCCTTTGAAGTGTATAATAGTGATTTTTAGTATAGTCACAAAACTGTACAACTATCACCACTATATAATTCCAAAACATTAAGCTGCGATACAAAGACCATGAGACATTGTTCCTGTCAAAATAAAACTGAGTCTGGGAGTGCTGGCTCAGGCCCGTAATACCAGTACTTTGGGAAGCCAAGGTGTGCGGATCCCCTGAGGTCAGGAGTTTGAGACCAACCTAGTCAACATGGTGAAACTCCATCTCTACTAAAAATACAAAAAATTGGCCAGACATGATGGCACGCCTGTAATCCTAGCTACTCAGGAGGCTGAGGCAGGAGAATCGCTTGAACCCGGGGGGCAGATGTTGCAGTGAGCCAAGATCGCGCCCCTGCACTCCAGCCTGGGTGACAGAGCAAAACTCTGTCTCCAAAAATAAAAATAAAACTGAGAAAATGCACATAGTCAGTTCTTATCATCCAGGACACAAACCCACTTTGTAATTGTATGCTGTGTTTCTTTCTTGGAATGAAATCAAGCAATGAAGTAGCATTACTGAAAAAAAAATTAAAATATATATATATGTAAATCTTTAAAGCAAAACTAATAAGAATATATTATGAGGCTTATAACATAGAAAATAGTAAAATATATGACAACAATAGTGCAAATAGGTGTGGATGGAATAGAAGTACATTGTAAGTTGTACATAAAATTCATTATGATAAACTTTGATTGTAAGCTATATTTTTCTAAGTTGTACATTGTATGTTAAATGGCATACTATTATCTGAAAATAGACTGTGGAAAGTTAGATTTATATTGTTAACTGTAGAGAAGCCACTTAACACAAAATAATAGCTAATTAACAATGAAAATAAAATGAATTACAAATATGCCCCATTAGGTAAAGAAAAAATGCACAGAAAGAGAAAAAAAGAACGAAGGGAAAACAGAAACAAATAGCAAAGTGGTAGACTGAAGCCAACCATATTGATAAACACATTAAATGCTAATGGTCTAATAGTGTCTTTCAAATGAACTTTCTGAGATGATTAGAATGTTCTACATCTGCAGTGTCCAATACAGTGTGACTATTGATTGAAATATGGTTTGCATAAGAAAGGAACTACATTTTTAATAGACTTTGTTTCTTAAACATATGTAATTTTACAGCAAAATTGAACAGAAAAAGGAGAGTTTCCACATACTCCTTCTCATTCTGCTCATAATTTTCCCAATTATTAATATTTTATATTGGTGTGGTGCATTTGCTATAATTGGTGAATCAAATCAATACCTGTCTTAGTCCATTCTTGCTGCTATAACAAAATATCTTCAACTAGGTAATTTGTAAATAGCAAGAATGTGTTGCTCACAGTTCTGGAGCCTGGAGAGTGCAAGATCAAGGCTCCAGCAGACTTGGAGTCTGGTGAAAGCCTGTTGCTCATAGATGGCACCTTCTGTGTGCTTACATGACGGAGGAGCAAGGGAACTCCCTGGAGTCTCTATAAGGACACTAATCCCATTCATGGGGGTGGAGCCCTCATGACTTAACCACTTCCCAAAGGACCCCTCTCTTAATACTATCACATTGGGCATTAGGTTTCCACACATAAATTTTAGGGGGATATCAACATTTAAACCATAGCAATACACAATTTTAACTAAAATTCACAGTCTACATTGGGGTTCACTTTGTGCTGTATAGTTCTGTGGGTTTTGACAAATGCATAGTGTCATATATTCACCATTATAATATCATACAAAATAGTTTCACTGCCATAAAAATCTCCAGTTATTGGCTTATTCGTTCCTCCCTCCAAACTTCCCAATCTCCAGTAACCACTGTTATTTTGTCTGTCTTTATAATTTTACCATTTCTAAAATGCCACATATTTAAAATCATATAGCATGTAGCCCTTTTAGTCTGGCTTATTCCACTTAGCAATATGCATTTAAGATCCTTCCAGCTCTTTTCATAGCTTGTCAGTTCATTTCCTTTTGTTGTTGAATAATATTCCCTTATATGAATGTACCATAATTGATATATCCATCCACCTATTATAGGGCATCTTGGTTGCTTCCAATATTTGGCTTTTATGAACAAAGCTTTATAAACATTTGTGTGTAGGTTTTTGTATGGACAGAAGTTTTCAACTCATTTGGAACTTGATTGCTAAATTGTATGGTAAAATTATGTTTAGCTTCGTAAAAAGCTGCCAAAATGTCTTGCAAAATGCTGCACCATTTTGTATTCTCACCAACAATGAATGAGAGTTCCTATGGGTCCACATCCTTTCCAATATTTGGTATTACCGATTTTTTTTTATTTTAGCCATTCAAATAAGTGTGTAGTGGTATCTTGGTTTTGTTTTAATTTGCATTTCTCTGATGACATGATGTTGAGCATCTTTTCATATATATATGAGATATATATATATGATCTATATATGATCTATATATGATATATATGATCTATATATGATCTATATATGATATATATGATCTATATATATGATCTATATATGATATATATATGAGATCATATATATATCTCATATATATATATAATCTATATATCTTCCTTGACATCTATATATATATCATCTATATATCTTCCTTGACATCTATATATCTGTTTAGCTGTTTGCTCCCCTTTTAATTGGAGTGTTAGGGTTTTAAGAATTTTTGTATATTTGTATATTTTGGATGCAAGTCATTTATCAGATATCAGTTCTGCAAACATTTTCTCCCTGTATGTGACTTGTCCTTTCATTCTTTTAGCAGTGTTTTCACAGAGCAGAAGTTTATAATTTTAAATAAACCTAACTTATAATTATTCTCTTTCATGGAATGTGCTTTGATGTTGTAGCTATATACTTATTGCCAGGCCCAAGGTCACTTAGATTTTTTTCCTATATTATCTTTTGAATTTAAAATTTTATTTAATTTCAGGTAATTTGCATTTAAATAGCCACAAATTGCTAGCAGTTATAATGCTGAACCACACATTGCAAGACAGAGATTTTGTAATTAGATAATTAGATAACAAAGTAAAACCCAAATATATGTTGTGTATAAGACATGACCTCGATGTGAAGTCACAGATATGTTAAAAGCAGCTAAGTAAAATATTAAAGTATAAGAAATGATAAACCAGAAAAACACTAATCTTAGAGAAAGCTCAGGTGACTATAAGAAAAGATCTCAGATCAAGAAATAAGGTATAGACAAGATATAAGGTATTAAGGTATTAGGCATTAGATACAAAGATGAATGATTCACAATGATAAAGTATCAATTTATCAAGAGACCATAAAAATCCCCAAAGTTTATGCATATCACAAAAGGGCTGCAAAACACACAAAGCAAAAACTAACAGAATTAAAAACAGAAATAAAAAATATATAATTGCAGTTTGATATTTTAACACTTCACTCACAATAATTAATAGACCAAATAAAATTGAAAAATCAGTAAGGATATACAGACTTGAACAATACAGTCCACATACAATCTAATTAACCCTTATAGAATATGCTATCCAGCCACAAAAATACATATTATTTGCAAGTACACCTGGAATTTTAATCATGGTAGTTCATAGACTGGGAGAGAAAAGTGTCATTAAATATAAAAAGATTTAAATGCTAAATGTTGTCTGACCAAAAAATAAATTAACACTCAATAAAAATGTGAAATTTTAAAAAATTGCAAATACTTGAAAATCAAACAAATAGGTAAATGAAGATTTCACTTGAGACATTAGAAAATAAGTCAAATGAAATGAAAATAAATGCGTATATTATCAAAATGTGAGAGCTGCAGCTTATGCTGTGTTTAGAGGGAAACTTATACCTTTAACATTTTAAAGGTTATGTCTGATCATCTTAAGAATAAAAAAATCAATGACCTAAGTTCTGTACACCCACCTTATGTTCCAGCAATTCTAGGTATTTACCTCCCAATAAGGAAAACATGTTCAAACTAACACATGTACATAATAGTTATAGTAGCATTTTTCACAATAGCCAAAAACTGAAAACAACTCAAGCGTCCATCAGCTGGCTCATAGACAAATAAATTGGGCTATATACATAACACAGATCATTACCAATAAACATAAAAGAAATGTTGATGCTTGCAACATTATGTACCAATATTTGGGGAATCTCCATACTCGCTGTATTGAACAAAAGAGGCTATGAAAGACCACTTCTGTATAGTTCTATTCATATGACAGTCTCAAAGTCATATGTCTATGGAGAAAAAATCTTGATTGCCTGAGGCTTGTGAAGAAACTGCCTGCAAAGGGACATAAGAAAATGTTTTGAGTTGATGGAAATGTTCTAAATGTTGATTATGGTGGTGGTTTTATTATGCATGTATTTGCAAAAGCTCATTGGACTACACACTTCGGATGTGTGTATTTTATTATATGAAAATTATACTTCAATAGAGTTGTATGAAACCTCTCCATCTAAAAAAGTTTTTGAGTCCAAGGGTTCAAATTTATTTTTATGCAGATACCAGCCACATCATGTAAAGAGTGTAACTTACTATCTCGGAAATCTGTACCTCATTTAGATATCATGAATAATAATATCTACCTACCCGTTTGAGGTAGGGACAAATGAAACCATGCTTGCAAAAAGTGTTCCATGTAAACCGTTCCGTCAATATCACCACAGCACTTTTGTCCCTCCTGAGTTACAGCCAGGCCTTTTGTAATGTCTGTGCTTGTAAAGGCTTTGAAGTAATGATGTAGTTGTCTACGCAAACTGTAAATCCATGCACCAGCATTTAATGTATACAGACACCAGGTCTGACCTGACAGTTCCTTTGTTTTGCAAGCTTCGTTGTGAAGGCCTGTATGTATGAACCACTGTAATTCATTTCAGTTCCCAGAAGTTCGCACGCAAGACTGTTAGAACAGTCTTGAATCCACAGTCTCCATTAGCAATGACGGGAACTGCCCCACGGTGCCTTGAGCGATTCTTCCGAAAGGTCAGATATAAACCATTCATTCCTGTGTATTCTAACCCCCCTCCTCCTAGCACCAAACCCAATTACTTCTGTTTTGTATGTCAGTATCTTTATTAGTACTGCACAGCAGAAAGCACAATATACTGAGGTGACAATTTTTAGCTGGCGGCAGATCTGATTAATGAGGCAAGGCTGAAATTAACTTTTTCTCATGTCACATAGATTTCCCAAGTCATGTAAAATTCCCCTTGTTACACTACCCATTAACATCTTCACCACCAATAAACACATGGAAATATATTGTACTTTTAACTGAAACGGGCATCCATCCATGTCCTATTATCCCTGTAAATAAAATGTGACACGATTTGATATTAACACAGATAAATGTGTCCATTTAGAAAGTTCCTTAGTCAATACAATATTTTCTGATTGGATGTCTAAATAAATAATACAGATAGGCATTTTATGTTAAAAATAGTAATAGGTACATCTTGATGACAAAATGGAATATAGAGTAAGGCAGAAATCTTTGACAGGAAATTATTGTCAATGGCAGCAATGCCATATACATTTAAAAATAATCAACAATGTAACCAAAGGCAGAATGCCTTTCCCATTTAAAATTAATTATTCAAAGGAACTCTGTACAGCATGCTGAAATTGTTTTCAGAGCTCACTAATAAAAATGGCAAGTGCTCCAACTCCTCTGCTTTGTCTGTCTATATTTCAGAGAATCCATTTGGCTCAGATGCATAGAGCTCAACAGCAAATGTTGCATATTATTATGTAATTAGACATAAATCAGAAATCTGCGAATAGAAGATGTGTTTATAATAGAGTTAGTTGACCAAAAAATAATCAGATGTTTTTAAAAGGGTAAAAACATAATTAAGTGATTTTCTTTTTGCTGTATGAAAGCAGTATAATTTTTATAGATATCATCTTAACTAAAAATTGTTAACATATAGTCAATTTACAGCTTAGAAGGAATTAGACGCATCTAATGAGAAAACTCTGGATTATTCGGTCTCCAGTAATATAGGGGCAAAATAGTATTGATTTTGCAAGTTTAAAATACCCAATAAGCTTTTACACATAAATCACCTAAAACAGTACCTTGCCTATTAGTGATCAATAAATATCATTGTCAATAGTGATAAGTAAACATTGTCAATAGTGATCAATAAGTATCATGTCATTAATATTCCTGTTATTCCTTACCACATAAGGGTGTCATGCTTTCTAGTCTGGTTTACAGAGCATACAATTATACAATCTGTTTTTAGTTTTGCCACTAAGTAACGTTTGGCCTTGAGCAAGTTAGCAGATCTCTCTGGATACATTTGGCTTCACTTTTTAACAGAGTACCTTAGTGTAGATAAAGTTTCTTTTATGATCTTGACTATAAGTCAATTCACCACTTATATCAAAATGTTCCTCAAATCAAAAACATATTTGCACTTTCAGAGTGCCTTTAATGAACTTATACAAAAGGTGATTGGTTATTAACTATGTTTCACAAATTTGAAAGAATAATGGCTTTAGTATTTTGGGTTCAAGGTGCATTCTCCCATTGCGTAACAATATCTCAGTGAAATTAAGCCTCCATGGGAGCATAGTGAGCACCAGCTGCATGCCAGGAGAATGCTAATTATGAGTCCTATTTGACAGATGTAGAAACTGAGGCTTACAGGAATTAGTTGCCTGAGGACCAACAATTCAGGAACTGTCAGTATTATCACCCTTCTCTTTTGTAAATGCAGTTTACACTCTCAATAAAAAACTAAATAAGTATAAAAGAGGTTACAAATTTACACCCCTACTTCCTCTGTTCAAACCCTACCATTCCAGTAACATATATGTTGTCTATAATATGTTATATAATGTGTTATATATAATATATATGTTATATATGTGTTATATGTTATGTAATATATGTAATATATTTTATATTACATATATCTGTTTTTAAAGATCTATATTATATATGTAACATATATTTTTATACATATTATATATGTATATTACTGTTTCTAAGGATGCATAAACAATGGCAAAGAGAAAGCAGGCCAAAGAAGGTATGTGAAAGACTGGAAGAGAAGAAAAGCAATGAAAAATAGTTTTGTCATCATTTGCTTGACTTTATAGAGTCAGTGAAAAATGGAAAGCAGGAGGCAGAAAGAGCAGATCAAGAAGATGGGTTCCTTCAGAAATACCATTTGACCCGGCAATCCCATTACTGGGTGTATACCCAAAGGATTATAAATCATTCTACTGTAAAGACACATGCACGTGTAAGTTTATTGTAGCACTATTTACAATAGCAAAGACTTGGAACCAACCCAAATGCCCAAGAGTGATAGACTGGATAAAGAAAATGTGGCACATACATTCCATGGAATACTATGCAGCCTTAAAAAAAGAATGAGTTCATGTCCTTTGCGGGGACATGGATGAAGCTGGAAGCCATCATTCTCAGCAAACTAACACAGGAACAGAAAACCAAACACCACGTTTCTCATTCATAAGTGGGATTTGAACAGTGAGAACACATGGACACAGGGAGGGGAACATCACACACTGGGGCCTGTCTGGGGGTGAGGGGCAAGGGGAGGGAGAGCATTAGGACAAATATCTAAGGCGTGTGGGGCTAAAAACTAGATGACGGGTTGGTAGGTGCAGCCTGGGCCACAGAGAGAGAGACTGTCTCAAAAAAAAAAAAAAAAATCAAATTTGGGTTTCTGAGACTCCATTTTTCCTATTGTATCTACTCTGCCAGAGCTGTCCAATGAAAAGACAGATAATACTATAACTAAAACATCAAAATAACTTTTTATGCTGAGTTTGGGAGAGAATTCCTGAAGAAGAACTGTGTCCTTGAACTTCAAATTTCTTGAGACTGTTTTCTCATCTTTGAATTGGGGGCAAGCATTCTAGTCTCTGCTAGGCTTTGTGAAATGAAAACAAAAAGATGGATATGAGAGTGTTTTTAAAACTCTAAAGAAGGCTAACAAACATGAAAAAAAAATTTGCAGAAAGAAATACCTTGATGAGAAGAAAGAGAAGGAACTAATTAGTATTAAGTATTTAGACCAACATTTTCCAAACTTTGTTCTTAAAATTCCGTAATTTGATTTCTGGAACTGCAAGTGCTTTTGGGGAAAATATCCCAAAGTCTATTTATTTATATATTGTCATATTTCTTATTTTTTCCTCCTCTTTATTTTTATTTTTATTTTTTGAGATGCCATCTCGCTCCGTTGCCTAGGCTAAAGTGCAGTGGCTCAATCATGGCTCACTGCATGCAGCCCTTAGTTCCTTCACAGGCTCAAGAGATCTTCCCACCTCAGCCTCCCCAGGACCTAGGACTACAAGTATGCACGATCATGCCTGGGTAATTTTTTAAAATTGTTTGTAGAGACAGGAGTCTTTCTAAGTATTAATAATTCTCCATCTATATGATGATTCCCTTGGGTGTGGCCAGGATAACTTGGTCATATTTGTGTTCACAACAGTACTGCATAATGTCTATGAGCTCAGTAGGGGCAGCCATAGTCTCATGCCTAGCACAGTAACAGAAACAAACCAAGTCCACATAGAAGCCTTTGGAATTACAAGAAGATATTCCCAATAAAAACTTTGTTTGATGGGGATCTCACAGGTGTCGCACTCCTGGCCTCAAGTGAATCTCTCATCTAGGCCCCCAAAGTGTTGGGATTATAGGCACAAGCCACAGCACCCTCCCTTCTTCTAATATTTGTAATTCATATTGGCATATTAAGGACTCTGGGATTTTAAATGAAATAGAAAACACTTTTTCATTCAGTATCTTTGTGAGTAAAAATAAAATTCTTACCAATACAAATATTGAATGAAAAAGTTCTAGGTTCTATTGTCAGTTATATCACTTATTAGCTATGATAATTTAGGCAACTTATTTATTTATTTAGAGACAAGAGTCTTGCTCTGTCACTCAGGCTGGATTGCAGTGGTGCAATCTTGGCTCACTGCAACCTCCGCCTCCCAGGTTCAAGCAATTCTCCTCCTTCAGCCTCCTGAGTAGCTGGGATTACAGGTGCCCAGCACCACGCCCAGCTAATTTTTTGTATTTTTGGTAGAGACGGGGTTTCCCCATGTTGGCCAGGCTGGTCTCAAACTCCTTCAGGATCCACCCTCCTCGGCCTCCCAAAATGCTAGGATTACAGGGGTGAGCCACTGTGCCCAGCTTAGGCAACTTATTAAATCTCTTTGATATTTGCTCATCAGATAATTGTGTAATCCTACTGCAGAACAGTGTTAATTGTGAGACATTTTGTATATACAGTACCTTATTCAGTGTCTAGTACACAGTAAGTATGCAATAAATGGTAGATATTCTTCTCCCCTTCCCACTACAAAATTCATGTGTTGTTGCACCAGACAGATAATTGCCTTGGAGCAAAAGCACTGTCTATTAGATGCATTTGCCTTGTGTGAACAGAGTTTGTGTCAAATCTTGGTTTTAGGAAGGGAAGAATTGCTAAGCACTTTCTGTCACATTGGCAAACATCCATCCCTTCTTGGAAGCTCCCACGATAAAAAGCTGCAAGTCAGTTCCTCCATGTCATTTTATAACATTTCCTTTTCATTAAGAAAAAAAAAATCTGAAGAAAAACAAAATTGTTTCTTCGCTTTTTACCTTTCACATACCAGGACAAGAGAAAGAGCTGAAATTGCCTTCCCCCATCCTCCTTGCCCTCCCTCAACTCTTCCCCACTCACCCTCCTCTCCTCTTCACTGCACCGACACCGCCATTTCTCTGGGATCCTTATTTGGAACTTGTTCATATTTACTCAATAGCTTAGATTATCTC
Source organism: Homo sapiens (assembly GCF_000001405.40). Classification (NCBI taxonomy): domain Eukaryota; kingdom Metazoa; phylum Chordata; class Mammalia; order Primates; family Hominidae; genus Homo; species Homo sapiens. The sequence continues at coordinate 64,133,240 of NC_000016.10, read as the reverse complement.
TTTTACTTATGCAGGAATTCATTAACATGAACATGAGTGAGGGATGATCTTTCACTTCTCGTAAACACTTCATTATTTGCCTTTGGTATTTGAAGACAACAAAACAAAGCCTATCCTTACAGAGTGTCTCCTCAGTAATTACTGCTGGTGTTGTCAGTTACAGACTGCCCTCCTGCCTGCATCTGAAATATCTAGCAGATAAAGACAGAGACAAGGAGTTAGCCATTTTTACTCTTCCCAGGCTGGGAAGACAGTCTAAAATCAACTCAGCTGTCATTGCTTTCTGGCAAACTCCCAAGCCAAATGTGTTTCTCCTGTTTTTTGGTGCTAGTCCTCCTGAAATCAGATTTGGACACAGGGGCCAAGGAGCCAGCCACAGAACTGAACCAGTCATTTTGCCAACACAACACCTGCCCTTCAGAGTTCTGCTTTTCTTTCATGAGAACATCTTGTGCATAGTACAGCTGTCCTTATTGTCTTTGTCTGGCATTTCCCAGAAGGTATTTGTTTTTCATTCATCTTCTTTGCTTCTGTGTTTGTTATGACACAATTTGGTGAACACATATACTTTCCCCCCTCAAATAAATGATAATAGGTAAAGAATCGTTTCTCAGAACTTGTGCTTTTTGGATTTTTATTTCTGCTGTTTTTGTATTTATTACACTGGTTCCACATGCAGAGAAAGACATAAAGTGAAAAGGAATTTTTCTTTTAGCCCCGATAGATGAAGCTTGCTATTTCTACTGCCACTCGCTCACTTCCTGACCTTGAACAAGTAACACAAGGTGCAGTACCTGAGTTCCTCCACTGACAAATGGGGAAAATGAATATCCATCTTCATTTTATGAGCGAAAATGAATATTTTAGGGACTTCCAATTCAGGGAAGATGGTACAGACCTATTCCTCCCTGTTTCTCCTTGGTGAGCACAACATAAATACTGGAAATAATGCAGGAAATAACAAAAGGACAACTCTGCAAAGATGGTAAGAAGAAGATAAAAGGTTTGGAACCCCAGGACTAAAAGAACAGCCCAGTAGCAAGATATCCTAAGTCTCCCTCCTCCATTCAATAGAAGACGTCTACTTAGATGTGCCATTTCTTGACTCTCAGCCTAGCCATAGAAGCGGGGCCAGGTAGGCTCATCCTTCCTGAAAGGACTGGAGTTCTAGGTAACCTCAATACCAACACCACCAGCAAGGAGGATTCATCAGAAGCTCTGCTAAAAATAGGTGTCTAGCAAAAGCAGTCTTCTATCCAATGTGCCCTGAGACTCCTTTTCCCCAGTGAGAAATACAGGGACAGGTAGGTAGAATCAGCAAAGGGGACCCAGTTACCATAAGCAATTCCTCTGGAGACCTCCTTTGTCCTCACAGTCCTGAGATTCTCCTTCTTTTCCCTGCCCCAGTTTTCTCACCCCAGTCTAGAAACACTGGGGCTGCGGCACAGCCAAAAAGAGGGACCTAGCCACAGCAGGTGGGTAGGCCTGAAAAACTCTGCCCTGGTCTAGAGGCACTGGAGTGCTTGGAGAAAAACAGTAAGGAGAGACCAGACCAACAGCACCAAGCTGCCTGCCTGCCTGCAGATGGTCTTTGACTTAGAGGTCCTGAGACTGATTGTCCTTCCAGAGACAACAGGCAGCTGGGGTGGGGGAAGATGCTAAAGGCACCTAACACCACGAAGCCTCTGAAAATTAAACTGCCATTGGAACCACAGCCCACAAGTGCAGGTCAAGATTTGCATGCTAAACATGAAGAGGGGGTTTGCCTATTAAGTCAAACATTTAAATATAGAGCCCACAGTCTCTAAACCTGATACAGAAAATGCAAAGGATATAATATAAATCCACCAATTATATCAAGCACCAAGAAAACCACTTGAATGAGAAAGAATAATAAACTGATGTGAATACCCATATGAATCAAATGCTGAAATTATCTGATGAGAATTTTAAAGCCATCATTATAAAAATATTTCAATAATCAAATACAAAGTGTCTTAGAACAAATAAATAGAAATAGAAAATAACAGAGAAAAATGTTATGTATACAAAGAAACCAAATAAAAATTTAAAAGCTGGAGAAAACAATAAGATAAATACAATAACAAAAAATTAAACCCAGTAACAGAAATGACAAGAAAATTCGCTGAATGGACTCAAGAGTAGCATGTATACAACATATGAAAGAAACTATCAAACTTGATAGCATATCAATGCAATTTAACCAAATGTGAGCAACAGAGAGAAAACATACTGAGAAAAAAAAAACTGACCAGAGCCTCAGAGGCCTATGGAACAATGACATAAATCCAATATTCATATTATTGGAGTATCAAGAGGAGAGAAGAAAAAGTGAGGTTGAAAATATTTGATGAAATAACCACTGAAAACTCCCCAACTGTGTTGAAAACACTATCATACAGGTCTGAGAAGCTTGAGGAAACTCCAAACAGAAAAAACTCAAACAAACTTACACTAAGGCAAGTAATAATTAAACTTTTGAAAATTAAAGACAAAGTCTTGAAAGTAGCCAAAAAGAAACAATATATTACCTCTGGGGAATACCATTTTAAATGTCAATGGATTCCTCATCTAAAACCTTGGAAGCCAGAAGGAGTGGCACAATATTTTTTCAAGCAGTTAAGGAAAAGAACTGTCAATCACAAATTCTATTTCTGACAAAACTACTCTTCAGGAATGAATGGGACATGAAGAAAATCTCAGATGGAAAAATGAGAATATTTTGTTGTGAGCAGACCTACCCTTACAGATTCTTCAAAAAGAAAAAAAGTAAATAACTTTGGAGCATTAGGAATGACGCAGAAATAATGAAAGAAATGAATATGGGTATATAAAAGACTATCCTTTTCCTCGTGAGTTTTATAAATCATATTTGCTTATGAAGCAGAAATTGTAGCACCATCTGATACTCAAGACAAAGATATTTAAAAATGGAGAAGGTAAAGGGTTCTAAATGAAAGTGACATCTCCACACTTCACTTGAGGATGTAAAATGTTGATATCAGTAGATTTTGGTAGGTTACATATGAATATCATGATACCCAAAGCACCTAAGAAAACCCCAAAAAGTAGTTGATAAACACCATAAATAAATCAAGATACAATTATATGTAATGATTCTACAACATATTTTTATTTATAGCATATTGAATATGTTAAAATTATATAACATGATCAAGTAACATATAGGACAGTATGAAAACAACATTAAAGATGAGAATGCAAAGACACAATAAACAAAATGACAGATATGAGTGCTAACATATCAGGAATTATCTTAAATAAAAATAATCTAAATATACCAACCAAAAGAGAGATTAGCAGGACAGATAAAAGATGACACAACTATTGTCTGCTTATAAAAAAAGAAACAACTTAGAATTTTAAGACTTAGGTAAGTTGAAAGAAAACGGATGAAAAAAACTTAACATGCAGATATTGATTTTAAAGAACAAAAATTACTACAATAATATCTAATTAGAATTCAGAGGAAAAAAAATTACTGCAGACAATGGGGGCATACATATTAAAAAATGATTATCTACCAGGAAGATAACAATCCTAAATGTGCCAAACAAAGGAAACATAAAATACATGAAGCAATAATAAAAAGAGCTGAAAGTAACAATCAACAAATCAACAATTGTTGGGAACTTCAACACCTGCACCACTCAGAACTTGATAGAAATACTAAATAGAACATCAGCAAGAAATACTAAATAGAACATCAGCAAGAATACAGAAGATCTGAAAAATGAATCAACCAATAGGATCTAGTTCTCATATACAGAACACACTATTCATTAATAGCAAAATCACTCTGCCCTGTGTTAAGACTTACTATGTATCTACAATAATCAAGACAGTGTGGTCGTGGCAGAAGGATAGATGTACAAATCAGTGTAATAAAGTATAGAACCCAGAAAGAGACTCAAACAAACATGCTCAACTGATTTTTGACTAGAGTAAAAAACCAAATCAATGGTAAAAGGACAGCCCTCTCAACCAAGGGTGCTGGCTGGAGCAATTGAATATCCAGGAGCAAAAAAAAACCTCAACCAAAACCTCACACCCTATGCTAAAATCAACTCAAAATAACTCACACACATAAATCTGAAATGAAAAATTATAAATATTTTAGAAATAAGTTAGGAGAAAACCTTTTTCAATCTAAGCAAAGAGTTCTTAAACTTGACATCAAAGGCATGATCCATAAAATGGACAGTTGATATACTGGACCTCATCAAATTTAATATTTTAGTTTACTTTTGAAAAGTCCATGTGAAAATTAAAAAAGAACGTGTAGATTGGGAGACTATATAGTCTGTATAGTCAAGTAAGTTTGGGAGAAAAACATCAGGTTATCTTTTACTCTCTCTCTCTCTCTCTCTCTATATATATATGTATGTGTATACACACACACGAAATAGTCTATATAGATGATATATATATAGTCTTCCAATCTATATGTTCTTTTTTATATATATAGTCTATACATATATAAAGTCTGTATAGAGAGACTATAGACTATACATATCATATATAGAGACTATATATGTACACTATATAGAGACTGTATAGAGACTATATATTTTCTTAGTCTCTATATATAGAGACTATATAAACACTATACTATATATATACTATATAGAGTCTATATATATACACTATGTATATAGTATATAGAGACTATATATATACTATACAGTATATAGAGACTATATATATACTATACAGTATATAGAGACTATATATATACCATACAGTATATAGAGACTATATATATACCATACAGTATATAGAGACTATATATATACCATACAGTATATAGAGACTATATATATACTATATAGTATATAGAGACTATATATATACTATATAGTATATAGAGACGGTATTTTCCTAGAAATACATATGTAATTCTGAAAACAACAGAAAAACAAACTTAGAAAATGGGCAAAATACATGAACAGACATTTACTGAAAAGATAGATGGCAAATAATCACATAAAAAGGTTTGATATCAACAGCCATCTGAGAAATGCAAATTAACATAATTACTTATCACTACACCCATGCTTAAAATATATAATAGTGACAATAAATGCTGGTCTGGATGTGAGGAAACTGAATTAAATATGCATTGCTAGTGGGAATGTAAAATGGTACCACCGCTCTGAAAAACATGTTGACAGCTTCTTACAAAACTAAGCATGCAACAACCATACAGTGCAACAATTTTATTTCTTGGTATTTATCCCCCTAAAATGAAAATGTATATACACACAAAAATTCCTGTGCATGACTAGTTACAGGAACTTTATTTGTAATAACCAAAAACTGAAATCAGTTCAGCCGTCCTTTAATAGCTAAATAATTTAATAGCCAAATAATTATCCAAACTTTGGTGCATACATACCAATGAAAAGCAATGAATTATTGATAGATATAACAGCTTCCGTACATCTCTAGATATTATGCAGAATAAAAATCTCAAAAGGTTGCATGCAACATATTTTCATTTATGTAACATATTTGAAATGATACAATTTTAGAAGTAGAGATGGTAGTTGCTAGTAGTTAAGATGGGGGGAGGTAGTATAGGGTGGGAGTAAGGTGTGTGGTAAGATATGGAAGTAATCATTGTGTTATTACCTTGACTGTGACAATGAACACACCTACAGAGGTGTATATAAAATTTTATAAAACTCAGTACAATCTCACATGTGCAAGTAAAACTAAGGACATATAAATAATGTGAGTAGATTTTATCATGTCCTGGTTATGAAATTGCACTACAGGTTTGTCGAATGTCACTATTAAGGGAAACTGGACAAAGTGTACAAGAGATTTCTCTTTACTATTTCTTACAACAATCCTCTTTACTATTTCTTACCCAACATATAAATCTATAATTACCTCAATATACATTTCAATTTAAAATAAATGAAAGTTTTTAAAAAGGCTATTATAAGCAAATGGACTACCACATATCAGAGGCCCAAAAAAGCATACTACGATGATGTTACATTTTTATCTTTGTTTATAATTTTTTAGTTCACTAGAAATCTCTATGCCTGCCTCCATTGTTTTTCTCCTTTCTATAATCATTCATGCATTCACTTATTCATTCAATAAACAATTCCAGTCAGCATACTTTTATTAATCTTGAAATTTTTTAGATATGGAATTTAAAAGAATCAAAATGTTCCTGGAAAAAAAATCATAGAAAAAATTTCTAATTCTGAAATAAGTCTTTAAAGTAGTATCCTTGCCTCATACAACTTTATTACTGTGAAGAGTTCCTTGTCACTTTCTCAAATTGCATTACTCAGGTCAGCATTATGTACAGAAACCCACATGGAATAATTATTGGATGTTTTAGTATTTGGCTATAAATGTCACGCCATTATAAGAAACTTGTATTTTACTACCCAATGTTAAAAAATAATTTTTAGGGAATTTGAGGAACAAATCATGTTACATATTTTCTCGATCCAAATTTCCAAGTGCCCTGCGGAATGTTTAACATGGTCAGGCCTGTCTGATTATTATTTTTTAGCTTAATGCTTTCATTTATGTTAGAGTTTTTATTAGTAGAGGCAGTAAATAATACATTGTTCTTTGAAAATGTTGTTAGAATAAGTGTGCCTTATCAATAATGTACTGTGAGAAATCCATTGTTTTGATTTAAAGTTTAAAACTCATTTATTATTGACCAGTTTGGGAGAAAAAAATCAGATTATCTTTTACTTGAATTGTCAGGTGCTTCACATAATATCCATCCTGGGTCTCAGGATAGTCAAATGGCATAATAAATGCTGGATCAGCAGTGCTCGTATGAAAAACAAACAAAACACCACATTCAAAATCTTGAATTTTAAGCATATGCTACTTCAGTGATCATCTATCTTTAATATTGTTTTTATACTTCTCATTTGTGGGGCTAACTAAAATGCAAAGTTTGCACTTGTATGTAAGTCTGTGCTGGTAAAACATAGCCAACCCTCTCTATATCCATGTTTATTACATTTCTGCAAAATTATATAACATACCTAAGGGCTGCTTGTGAGGCAGGCATTTGTTTACCGCATTGCTTGACGACAAGTTCATGAAAAAGAAGTAGAGGCTGTCATTGTAAGAGAATCATTTGGAATAGTAGTTTAGAATTAGTATTGCCAGTTAATAGACAAACAAAATGTATAAATAGACCAACAAAATTGACTTGTCTTTAGTGGTTCAGTCTATCCCAAAAAGATAAGGGACAGGCCAGGCGCCGTGGCTCACACCTGTAATCCCAGCACTTTGGGAGGCCGAGGCGGATGGATCACGAGGTCAGGGGTTCAAGACCAGCCTAGCCAATATGGTGAAACCCCGTCTCTACTAAAAATACAAAAATTAGCCAGGCATGGTGGTGGGCGCCTGTAATCCTAGCTCCTTGGGAGGCTGAGGCAAGAGAATCACTTGAATCCGGGAGGCAGAGGGTGCTGTGAGCCGAGATCGCACCACTGCACTCAGCCTGGGCAACAGAGTGAAACTCCATTTCAAAAAATAATAATAATAATAAGGGACAAAGCCAGGTAGCTTAAAATTCTTGATTTCTTGTGATATGCACAGTGCACTCCATCAATTAATTCATGGAAATAATACCCAAAATGAATATAGTTCAGTAACCAGAGTTTCTTATTTTTGTTCTTGAATTAGACTGCTTAGTATCAGAAGTAGGACCTTGAATTCATTATCTGTGCCTCCTCATGAAAGTAGTTTAACTCTGTATGTCTCAGTTGCCTCATCTGCAAAATGCAAATGCAATAGTTAGAGTATCTATCAAATGGAGTTCTAGAAGGATTAAATGTGATAACATATATATATATAAAATACGTATTATATATATATATATAAATACGTATTACATACATATAAATCTATTAGAGTAGGACCTGGCACGTCAGCAGCACTCTATATATGTTAGCTATAATTATTCTCTTACTAAATTCTCACATTTGTCCTGCAGAGAACTGAAGTGTTTTTCTTGAATTACTAAAGACAATTTTAAGGCACAGAGAAGCCAAATAACTTGTCCAAAATCAAACAGAAAACAGCAGAGCCAGGTCTCAAAGACAGATATGTCAGGCTCCAAAGCTTTATGTCTTTCCCTCTGGCCCTACCTTCTCCAGGATTTAATCAGATGGAAAACAAAATCTCACTTCACATTCCATGTGTACCAACTACTTGGAGCAAGACTGATCCTTTCCCATGTCTAAATATAAACACTCTACATCACCAGCAGTTGTGGACAATACCATTGCACTTTTTCTTTTGAGATATTTTAAATCTGCTATGCACACTTTTATTATTATTGAAAATTCTAGATTGGAGAGGTGATGGTGAGATAGCCTGATAACTTTGAATGATCGCTTTAGGTTAGTATGAAATACAGTAAGATATTTTGCCACCATTGGCCACTGCAGCTATTGGGAAAAAATATTTTCTATATTTTAGGTTGAAAAAAGACAAGAAATGGATTGATTGTTCTTCATGAGTACCCTAAAAATATCATTAGAAACAGTCTGGGTTTGGAAAACATTACAGTGATTTTGAAAGTGAACCTGGATTCCTGAGATTTTGACATTGCTTGTCTGGGTAGAGCCTGGAACTCTCCATGCTTATAAGCACCTCCAGCTACATGTATGAGGGTGGTCTGGAGGCATAACATTCATATCTGAATGATGCTGGATGTTGTAGTGATACTTAAATGCTCCAACACCAGCATAGATACCACCAAGAGGATCCTCAGTCCTTTGGAATGTTTTGACACCTCTGTTTTGTTTTGGGGGGTTTTGTTTGTTTGGTTGTTTTCTTCAGTTGGTTGGTTTTGGGGCCTCCTCTGGGCTTTTTAATTTATCTCTTCATTGACAAGTAATAATTGTGTATACTTATGGGCTACAATGTGATAGTTATGAACCAAGGGTTTGTTTTTCCTTAATTGTATCTTCTTTTTTAAAATATATTTTATTATTATAATAAGTGTTTCATTGGAAAATAATCTTCATTTTCTTAAAGCAACTAAAATAGTACCTGAGGTTCTTGCATTTGCTTAAACATTTTTAGAAAATATAAAGAAGGTACTTTCTCACAATCCAAAAATTAGTGAAATTTATTTTTAACTAATTTCAACTTCTACTTAATTAGAAAATATGTATTCGTACCAGTTAATTTAGATGACTCGGAAGTTGATAAATACTTGCATACAATTTCATGATACAGCTGCTGCGTACTAGTTATTCATAATGGAAGATGTTCAGGATATGTCCATAAAACTTTGCAGTTCTTATGACACATGTTTACATCACAATCCCCCCAAACTCTAATCCATTTTTCCTGAATACCAGATTGCCTATAGGCAACTTCCTTAGATTGTCCCTTAGAATGTGGTGTCCAGAACTTACAATATAGTACCTGAGACTTTAATAAGGATGATATGGCAGAACTATGAACTCCATTGTGTTCTAATAAACTCTGCAAGGAATTTCTTAGAGTTTCTACCCTAGTGATCTGAGAGGTCAGCAATGCTTGTATTATCAACAGTTTCTTAAATTGTGATGTCTACCTCTCAAAGTCCAGTGCAATTTTTATGTAATTAGCAGCCAAGTCAAAAGAGTAATATCACCTTATCTGTGAGACTGACTCAAAATATTCTGTTGATGGAGTGTACAACAATATTCTGTGGTTCAATGCAGAGCCCAGGGTAGAGGATACTGTTTTAAGCCTTTCTAGTTTACTTTTTTGTTGATTTGTTTGTCCAATGCATAGCCAACCCATGCAGAAATAATCTTGTAAAGATTGTTTTCTCTAAGTACAGCTCTTGGCTGGTTCTAGACACTAGAATATTGACAGCACTAATTAAGTTGACTATATCCAATGTCTTAGCTCAGGCCTTGAAGCAGAGCCTGAGACAGGGTTTCTTGTGAAAGTGATTTGTTGAAATAGGGTTCACAGGAGAAATCTGTAGGGAATGAGAGAAGAGGTCAAGATGGAGAAACAACCTAGCAGAGGTGTGATTTCCAGAATTCAGCCTCACATCACAGGAAACTCTAGAGCATAAATTGGTATCACAGAAGTCCCACCTCAAGGAAAGAAGGTAAGGGAGTGATACTCCATCAGTCACTGTTTGGCTGCAGGATGCCTCGGAGAAGTGGGTTGAATAACCTCCCAGTATCCCAGACATCTCTGAGTGTGCTGCCTCCTGTTAGCCAAGGACAATGTTCTGGTGAAGGAGAGTGTGAGTCTTAGACACTAGCAGCAATACCAAATGGAAGCAATATCCTAATAAAGAAAGAGGACCCGGTCAGGAAACCAATAGCATCTGCTTCAGTCCGTTCCATACAGCAATAGGAAACAGGGACTTATGAGGTTCTTTATCTCCAGACTTCATGAATGCAAGAAAAATAATTGAGCAAGAATAATTAAAACCATAAAAGAAAGTGCCTAAATTCAAACTTTATTTTATTACGCTGGGCTTAAAATGACAATTGCAGAAATTTCTCCATCTCTCATATTGCAATTGCTTAATGTTCACACATTAAGTTTGGAACCTTCATTTGTAATCCACGCTATGGTGTGTATGCATATCCATGCAAAAACAAGTTTTAGAATTTGTTATTTCTGTCTTTCAGAACAAACTGCAAAATGGTCACTTCAGCTTTCATATAGGAATCCTCTCTAGTTCTAAGGTTTACCTCTTGGAGCAGTATTCATTGTTTTCTCAGCGTTGAGACTTGTTTTATGACACCACAGGAATTTTCTGGTTCTCTCTGATAGTGATAAAGCCACATATTCCATTTTAAAAATAACCTATTACAGCCAAGAACCCACTTGACTTAAAGCCATGTCCTGTTTGTATACAGGAAACTGCTTTGTGATCTACGTTGATGTGGAGTTTAATGGTTTCATATTCTTCAAATAGACTCTCCTTGGCAACTGTGATCTCAATTGTGGCAGGTTACACTGCTGTTCAACAATATATGGTTTTCATCTACCTTTGAGTCCAGGAAGAAAGCTTAGTTTCCTCTACTCAAAGTCATGTGTATGGGTACATGATTTCCTTTTTGTAAATGACATATAATAATTTTACATATTTATTGAGTACAAAGTGATCTTTTGATCCATATGTATAGTGATCAGATCAGGGTAATCCATCATCTCAAGTATTTATCATCTCTTTGTCTTGGGAATAGTCAATATATTCCTTGTAGCCATTTGAAACTATGTTATTATCTATGATTATCAGCCTGCAGTGGTATAAAACACTAGAAGTTATGCCTCCTACCTATCTGTAATAAAGCACAAATTATATGCATTATTTCCAGGTGGAGACATTTAACTGTTGGTGCTTAACTTTCCAAACTATGCTTCCTCTACAACAATGTTTGTGGAAGCATACAGTCAGGTAGAAGCCGCCAGAGATGCTGAGTTAACACATAGAAGACAGCTGGTCTGGGGAATCACCTAGACCAAAAGTTAATGTTGCATGAGTAAACCATTTGTTATGATGTGACACTGACTCTTGGGGTTACTTGGAAACCGCATATAACCTAGACTATCCTGACTAATAAAAAGATTCAATTATGCAACTCTTCTTGTATGTATGAAAGAACACATATTATTATGCCAGTTTTATGAATTAGGGAGCTGAGCTGCTAGAAAGTTACACGATTTTACTGAAAGCAACAAGAAAGTGAGTGGGGAAAAAAATAAGATTTAAAAACTAATGCTCTCTGAATCCAGGGCAATTTTCTCCTCTTGCAGGATGGGAACAAAGGGTCATCTGCGTTGCCTCCTTGCAGTGGGTTTAGCGATGTGATAATTACATGTAAGCATACTGAAGTCTGCCACTGAAGGTACATGACCATTTGAACATTTATCTCCATAAATGCCAATAATTTTATTCCCAAAATATCTTTATAAAAATTGATCTTATAGGAAGGAACCCAGTCATCAATGATTTGCCCTTCTATAGAACTAAATATTTTTATTCCAAATACTATTCAAATCTAAATCACAGAATTGTAATTAGAATAGGAGCAAAATAATAAAACCACAATTATTATTATTATCACGTATCAGTTTAACTAGTTATATATGATATAGCTTAATATTTGTCAAAATATAACCCAGATATTACTACTGACAGTTTTATAGCTGAAAAAAACTGAGAATTAGAAAATGTAAACAATCTGCCCAAGGTCACAGAGTTTTTGTGGGAGAAGATTCAATATAATTTCTTATGAGTAGGACCTTATGACAGCCTGTGTTTTAGCTTAAACACTGCCTGCATGATCTCAAACAAGCCCTTTAACTGCTTCATTACTCAGTTTTTTTATATGAAATTAGGAATAATACTATCCACTAGTTTGGTGTTAGTATAAAATGATGACTTATATGAAAACATTTGTACATTAAAGAACTCTTACAAGGTGTTGTAATTTCCTTATTATAATTACAATCATAGGAATGCTATAGAGATTATTATGAATCTGTGCCATACACTTTGTTCTGTTATATACTATTTCTTTTAAAAGGGCAGCATATTTTTAAAAGCTCTCTTACATGTAATTATGCAGTGGGCAAGGATAAGTGGTGAGTTAACTGTGTTGGTAGTTCTTTTCTGAAGTATATCTCTAGCAAATAGCTTCATGGCTCACTGGAGCAATCAAAATTAAAAATGTATATGTGCAGCTTAAATACTCAAAAATAGTTCACAGTTAAACACATCATACTGCTTAAAATTTTAAAAGATGCAATTATCCTTTTTGGCGAACTCTTAATATTCTCTGGAATGTTGACTAATATAAAAGGGTTTCAAACAGTAATTTTTACAAGGTTCTGTTAAATGGAAATACAGACGGGTATGTTATTTTCCTCTTTTACTGTAATCTCTCTTCCAATTTCCCCTTGGAATTTACATACTTCCTGAAAATTGATTCATTCAGTCAGTTTCAAAACTTTGAAATAGTGGTAGGTAAATAGAAAAATCTGTCCTTACAAATATATGAAGTAAAATAATTTTGGAATAGCCATCACAGACTCTCTCTCTCTCTTTCCCTCTCTCTATGTCAAACACACACACACACATACAGATGACTGCAGTTTTGGATAAGTCATACAAGCACAATTTTCTCAAATTTGAAACTTTTAGGATTTAAAACTTTCAGGGTATAATTATTACTGGTTGTGATAGTGTAAACAACTTAGTATATAAAAAGAATATTTTTCTTATTCTAAATATATTGGAGGAAGAGATGAAAACTAAAGCTAAGTGGCAATGCTATGATAAATGTGGTGTATGATTTGTATGTATATCATATAAATATGAATATACATATATATATATGACCTATATGGCAAGCATTGCTCTAGATGATAGGATGTAACAGTAAACAGAATAGAAAAAGTCCATTAACTTGTGGATTTTGCATTATAGTGAGCAAGATAGTAAACAAATAAATATATAGCCATGCTAAATGGTGATAAATACTCTGAAGGAAAATAAAGCAGTGTAATGTAATAAGAGTTATGGGGCCTCTATTTTATACAATATTGCGTATCACTTAGGGTTCTGACAGGACCCTGGTGGCACATTCAAGTTGAGATAATTGAAGGTAATTTAATAAAGGGACTATTATAAAAGGTATGGACAGGGTGTTGGGAAAACCCCAAGGTGATTTTATCGCTCTGGGGATAGTACTGGCTGTCTACCTTACCAGTGTGGAAGAAGGACTGAATGAATCTGGAATAGAATGTAGAATAGAAAGTGTATAAAAAGAGCCACATGCAATGGACTGTGAACTTCAGTGGTGACTCCCACAAAAACAGAGGAATAAATACCCCAAACTAACAGGTCTTCCCCCATCTAGTCTCTTCCCCCAATAGACAAACCCTATAAGAAATAAAATGTCAAGGAAGTTCATTAGTGCAGTAAATATGACCTAGCCTGGTAGAACTCAGGGCAGGATAAAGAAGGACAGAGAAGAGTCTGGAAAGGAAAACAGGCACTACAGGCACAGGTGTTCAAAACAGCCCTCTCTGAGGGGGAATAACAGTTAAGCAGAGATCTGGATTAGACAAAGGAGAGACAGCATAGTAGTTATCTGGGGGAAGCTCTTTCAAAACTGAGGGTACACAAATTTTTAAGGTGCTTAGCATGTCATTTCCCAAAAGTACATTTTGCTTTTCATAAAACGCTCCCTCTCCTCACTTACAGTTGCTGATCTGCTACAGTCTGCCCTCACCCCCAGAGATCGCCCATGACTATTTGAACTAAGCTCACCAAAAATATACATTCTGAACCAGAAAAGTCTTGACTTTGCCTTTATGTCTCTGACCTATACCACATTTTTAACACTATTTTTCTTAGCTTTCCTCTTGCATCGATATCCTTCCAGTGTTATCATTACTTTGATACTGGCTCCCCCTCTATATCTCTGATAATACTTTTATTTTATTGCCTCATTCCCCCAAGGTCCTACCCTTGGACCTTTCTGCTATCATTAAATTTTTACTTGTTTTATGTTATCAATTTCCTTTCCTTCTCTTGTCTATATGGTGAATCAGAACATAGAAGAAGGATGGATGGATAAACGGATGGATGGATGGGTGGGTGGGTGGATGGATGGATAGAGAAAGAGAGAGAGAAAGAGATAACTGAATTACTACAAAAGGCTAACACAGGCCTTTAAAGTGGCCTGCTTGATCTCTCGTCCTCAATATTTCTACAATGGAAACAACCATCACCTTCCTTTTGTTTGCTCCCAGTTCCAGTGAATGGCAGCAGCAATGTTTAAACTATCAACACTTAAAATTTCTGTATCTTCACATCTTTCTATTCTCAACCGATCTTTTCCAACAAATGGCCATGTTATCAACATATCTACAGTGGAACTAACCATCTCCATTATTTGTTCTGCTGTTCTTCCTGAGTTATCACAGTGAATGGCAACATACTCTTCTGTTTCTCATATATCTGCAACATTTTCGCTCATCTCTTTCAGTAAATTGTAATGTCCTATTTTGTCTTTTGGATTCTTATCCCTCTTTCAGTTCCCACTATTATCACTCTAATTTAATTCTTCATAATTCTAACCAGCATAATGGATGATATTTTTCATTTCCCCATATCTAACACGTGGGAGCCCAGGACTGATCAGGCGTGTCCTTGCTGCTAAAACCTGGGTGGATACTAGCAGGACCAGCACCATCACAGTAACACACCCACCCTGAAATAGGGAAAGGGGAGTTTCAAGTTACACAATTGTAAACTGAAGGAGTTGTTGACAGTGATGGGGTAAAGGAGTTGGTTGTAGATAAAACCCTGGTGCAATTCCTGAGTTCGTGGGTTGGTGCCTCTGATGACCATTTCTGGACATATGTGTCACAGTGGTCATTAGCGATATGGCAAGAGATCAAACATGTCATTTTATGCATTCATTCAGAAAGTATAATTTGAGTGTCCAATACATTCCAAGGTCGTGTGATAAAGAATAATTGAGGGTATGTCCTACTTTAAATGGGGTGGTCAAAGAAGGTCTTTCTGCAAAGTAACATTTTATACTTGCACTGTAAAGATAAGAATGAGCATGACAAGAAAAGAGAAAGAGTACCCTACGAAATGTAAGTCTCCTCCTAATGTTTTTCCCTCTCTTACTTCTCCCATTAATATAGAATTTGTCCCCAGAGTCAATGTTGATAATGATAACAATGATGGTGATAGTGATATTGAATATAACAATGATGATGGTAACAGCAATTGATACAGTAAAATTCCCATGAGAGCAGAGACCATGTGTGTATTGTTTGCTGCTTAATCCTCAACATCTGTCACAGTATCAGGCACAACATTGATATTCAATAAATATTTGTTGGAGGAACAGAAGTATGAATGAAAGATGATGGCAATGACTAGGAGTGGTTCAATTCAATTGAGCTGATGACAGTGTATTATGTACCTCAAAACTAGAGACTGCCAATATTTGTCTGCATCAATTGCTTTTAAGGAAATGAACCATTCTAGTGATATCGTATCTCAGACAATTAATTTTCACCTTATTCTGTTGAGCATTATCACGTAGTATTTAGCACATTGTTAATTATCACTTTGTAACACTTTGTAAAGTGTGAAAAATCCTGCTGCACGGATTCCTCTTTTCCACTATTTGTGTTTCACTCCAACCCAGAGCCGACACAAGCAGAAAATAAAGCATTTACAATAACATAACTAAAATAAACTGAATACAACTTTTATTCTTAAAACATAACATGCCAGTAACTGCTCTCCAAGCACTGATAAAAGACAAAGAGGTGTTATGAAGAATAAATGTTTCATTCAAAAATCTATAATAATGTATTAGGAAAAAGAGCAATGTGGGCTTGCAAGATGAATTTGAGTGCACACGCACAGAATTCGTCCTCATTGGCCTAGGCAATGTTTATTTTTTATTTATAATTTTATTTTTAAATTTGATTGAATTTCGAGTGTGGAGGACAAAGGCATATGAGATGATGGGGAACAATATGATCTGACTTTTTACTGTACTCCCACTCACTATCCCTACTGCTTACCACAATGCCAAATCAATTGTGTTTATATATCTATAATCTGATATTGATATAGGAGAAGGTAAAATAACAGCTTTGAAGTCAATAACTCATACAGGATTCAAATATGAACTATGCAATTGGCTATCACAGTGACCCTGGGCAAATTATGTACTATCTCAATTTCAACATAATTATAAAACTAAATTACACCCAGCAGAAAGTAGATACTCGTTGGATACCAGTTGCTGACTGCTTTCTACATTCAACACAATGCCATATTAGAGCAATTGCTGAGCAACAGATAAGACAAAATCTGATAGTTTTAACTACTCAGATAAGCTCTCAAATTTACCATCCTTTATAACTAGTGACAGATTTCACTAGATACATTAGGTTGTAAAATACAGGCCTTGCCATTAATTATAATCTATAAATTGATATGATCTTATGCACCAGTAATTCTGAATCAATGTTTATTAAAAACCAGTAAGAAAATATTCTAAAAAAGTGTAACTTTTAATCTAATTCTATGTAATCATTTTGTGCAGTCATAAAACAATGCATAAATGTTTATATGATTAATATTATATATTTATACATGAATAAAATTTTGTTACATTTTCTTTTATTATTATACTTCAAGTTCTAGGGTGCATGTGCACAACGTGCAGGTTTGTTACATATGTATACATGTGCCATGTTGGTGTGCTGCACCCATTAACTCGTCATTTACATTAGGTATATCTCCTAATGCTATCCCTCCCCGCTCCCTCCACCCCACAACAGGCCCCGGTGTGTGATGTTACCCTTCCTGTGACCAAGTGTTCTCATTGTTCAATTCCCACCTGTGAGTGAGAACATGTGGTGTTTGGTTTTTTGTCCCTGCGATAGTTTGCTGAGAATGATGGTTTTCAGCTTCATCCATGTCCCTACAAAGGACATGAACTCATCCTTTTTTATGACTGCATAGTATTCCATGGTGTATATGTGCCACATTTCCTTAATCCAGTCTATCATTGATGGACATTTGGGTTGGTTCCAAGTCTTTGCTATTGTGAATAGTGCTGCAATAAACATACGTGTGTGTGTGTCTTTATAGCAGCATGATTTATAATCCTTTGGGTATATACCCAGTAATGGGATGGCTGGGTCAAATGGTATTTCTAGTTGTAGATCCTTGAGGAATCGCCACACTGTCTTCCACAATGGTTGATTCAGTTTACAGTCCCACCAACAGTGTAAAAGTGTTCCTATTTCTCCACATCCTCTCCAGCACCTGTTGTTTCCTGACTTCTTAATGATCGCCATTCTAACCGGTGTGAGATGGTATCTCTTGTGGTTTTGACTTGCATTTCTCTGATGGCCAGTGATGATGAGCATTTTTTCATGTGTCTTTTGGCTGCATAAATGTCTTCTTTTGAGAAGTGTCTGTTCATATCCTTCGCCCACTTGTTGATGGGGTTGTTTGATTTTTTCTTGTAAATTCATTTGAGTTCTTTGTAGTTTCTGGATATTAACCCTTTGTCAGATGAGTAGATTGCAAAAATTTTCTCCCATTCTGTAGGTTGCCTGTTCACTCTGATGGTAGTTTCTTTTGCTGTGCAGAAGCTCTTAGTTTATTTAGATCCCATTTGTCATTTTTGGCTTTTGTTGCCATTGCTTTTGGTGTTTTAGTCATGAAGTCCTTGCCCATGCCTGTGTCCTGAATGGTATTGCCTAGGTTTTCTTCTATGGTTTTTATGGTTTTAGGTCTAACATTGAAGTCTTTAATCCATCTTGAATTAATTTTTGTATAAGGTATAAGGCAGAGATCCAGTTTCAGCTTTCCACATATGGCTAGCCAGTTTTCCCAGCACCATTTATTAAATAGGGAATCGTTTCCCCATTTCTTGTTTTTGTCAGGTTTGTCAAAGATCAGATGGTTGTAGATGTGTGGTATTATTTCTGAGGGCTCTGTTCTGTTCCATTGCTCTATATCTCTGTTTTGGTATCAGTACCATGCTGTTTTTGTTACTGTAGCCTTGTAGTATGGTTTGAAACTCAGATAGCCTGATGCCTCCAGCTTTGTTCTTTTGGCTTAGGATTGTCTTGGCAATGCGGGCTCTTTTTTGGTTCCAGATGAACTTTAAAGTAGTTTTTTCCAATTCTGTGAAGAAAGTCATTGGTAGCTTGATGGGGATGGCATTAAATCTATAAATTACCTTGGGCAGTATGGCCATTTTCACGATACTGATTCTTCCTATCCATGAGCATGGAATGTTCTTCCATTTGTTTGTGTCCTCCTTTATTTCATTGAGCAGTGGTTTGTAGTTCTCCTTGAAGAGGTCCTTCACATCCCTTGTAAGTTGGATTCCTAGGTATTTTATTCTCTGTAAAGCAATTGTGAATGGGAGTTCACCCATGATTTGGCTCTCTGTTTGTCTGTTAATGTAAGAAGCAACAGATCATTTTCTGTGTGTTCTAGACAAGAGCAGCATTGGCAGAGAGACCTGGCAAACCTGGGGAGGCCATGCCACTGGTACTAGAAAGAAGTAGCCATTATCTGCATGAGCCAATAACTGGGTAGAAGTGAGGATGCGGCAGTAAATGCCATAAGGGTATGTGACAACCAAGATCCAAGTGTTTCCTTTCTTACTGCACAAAGGGCAGGCTGCCATGCAGTTTCCTGGGAACTCAAAAAAAAATTCTGAGAAAACAGGCATATAGTTCCTGAATTGAACAGATTTACTAATCTGTCAGTTACTGGGACCGGAACTCAATCATAGAATTTGTTTTAAAGAAATTTACAGGTTGCATTTTTTGAACAACAAAGTTGGTTTTGTGATATCCATGCCTGATGCATAACTAAAAATCAAAAACTGTTGCCATGTATAAAGTAGAAAACATAGCAATCTGTAGATGATAGGGTTAGACTTTGTGTCTCCACCCAAATTTCATCTTAAATTGTAATCTCCATAATCCCCATAATCCCCACAAGCCCCACGTGTCAAGTGAGGGACCAGGTGGAGGTAAGTGAATCATGGGAGCATTTTCCCCTATGCTGTTCTCATGATTGTGAGTTCTCACCAGATCTGATGGTTTTATAAGGGGCTCTTCCCCCTTCACTCAGAACCTCTCCTTCCGGCCACCTCGCTTCCCCTTTGCTTTCTGCCATGATTGTAAGCTTCCTGAGGCCTCCTCAGCCATGCTAAACCATGTGTCAATTAAACCTCTTTCCTTTATAAATTACCGAGTTTTGGGAAGTTCTTTATAGCAGTATAAAAATGGACTAATACAATGGACTTTTGATTTTAGCTCTGAAATATAAAAAGCTTGGAAATTGTCACCTTCATTCTAACAACTAGAAATAGCCAAAGAAAGAAATCAACAATTTTTCTTAGACAAATTGAGTTCACAAAGCAAACTGCCACTTGAAAATATGAATTGGTGGGTAAAACCAGAGAGCTGCAGTCAAGATCTGTTTACCTGGAGCAGAAGACACTGGAACAATAAATTGATAGACTTAAATGATAATTGTGATAAATTGTTGGAATAACATAAGAGTAAGAAAACCCTGGGGTTGAAACAGTGTTAGAGGGATTCCCAGACTTTTGGGAGTTTTACTTCCAGGAACCCTATGGAACCTCACTAGATTCTCATAATGAAGATCTGAGAGATATCTTCTCTTGGCTCTGGCAAGTGGATGGGAAGAGTAATAGTTATTAAATACTCCTACATCATTCTCTCTAACAAAGACTTCCTCTCCAAGAGAACACACTTTACCTGAGCTTTGTTTAATGTGGAGGAAAGTAAATCACTTAATTCCAGCCCCCTTCTAGCCTTCCTTTCTCACCTAAGGCTAAACAAAAAGCTTAGAAACACTTGTGACTGTCACGGCCCAGGGAAACAGGACTATTAACAGTCTAACCTTTGATAATACAATTACAGGCGATAGAATGCTCCCCTCTTTTGTATCTTACTACCATGCCAGTAGAGCTCCGGCATAATAACAGTGCATTACAACTGAAAGCACTGTAGGACACAGTTGTTCTATGAGGGGGGAGCTACTTAGGGAAGATCAAAGTTAAGAGGGAAAGGAAAAGAAGGACACTAGAAGACTTTGAAGACTTTAGGATCTACAGCCACAACAAACATTGAAAACATCCCATTACTGGCCAGATTAAAATAAAGCCTCACGCTAATGACCTACTTTCCTTACTTACCATTATCCAATACAGTGTGTCCAACTTTTTAAAAAAATTTCAAGGCATGCCAAAAAAGTAACAGAAAAGGAGTCAGAATAGAAAAAGCAAGCATAATGCAGAGTTGAAATTATCAAATAAAGAATTTTAAATAACTGATTAATATGTTAAGGGCTCTAATGGAAAAGTAGACAGCATGAAAGAACAGATGGTTAATGTAAGCAGAGAGATGGAAGCTCTAAAAAATAAAGGGAGTGATAAGCAAAGACATTGTAAAAGATGAATAATTTCTTTAATACTCTCAGACTGGACGTGGCCAATAAAGTAATTCATGAGCTTGAAGATAGGTCAATAGAAATTCCTGAAACTAAAAGACAAAGAGAAAAAAAAATAAAAACAAAAACAGAACAAAAAACTCAGAACATCTGCCAAGAAATGTGGGACAATTTTCAAATGTGCAAAATACATATTTTTGAATATGTAATTCATAAATTTAGAATAAAAATTTTAGAATGAAAAGAAAAAAGAAATAGAGCAGAAGAAATATATGACTAAGGACTTCAAAAAGTATTACACATAGGCATATCATATTCAAACAGCAGAACACCAAAAGCAAAGAAAAAGTCTTGAAGAAACTATAGAGGAAGGAAAAACAACTTAGTTGCAGAGGAAATAGGATAAGAATTACAGTGAATTTCTCAGCAGAAGTCCTGTAAATAAGAACAGAGTGGAGTCCAATATTTAAAGGATTGAAAGAAAAATCACCAAACTAAAATTGTGTATTGAATCAAATTGTTTTTCAAAAATAAAGGAGAAATTAAACCTTTCTCAGACAAACAAAAACTGAAGGAGTTTACCATCAGCAGACATGTCCTCCAAGAAATGTTAAAAGAGGTTATTCAGAGAGGAGGAAAATGATATGGGTAGGAAAGTTTATGTAAAGAAATAAAAATATGAGAGGAGGAATGCATAAAGATATTTTCTTTCTTATTCTTAATTTTCCTAAAAGATAACTGATGGTTTAGATTAATAATAGTAACGATGCATTGAATGATTATAGCATATAGGTAAATAAAAGGAATGACAACAATGGTCATAAAGGGAGGAAGAAATTGGGAACATTTTTATTAGGAAACTAAGCAATACATGATCTGGTATAGTATTATTTGAAGATAGATTAGTAAAAAATTGTGTATTGAAAACTCTAGGAAAAATACTAACATATTTTAAAGTATGTTTTATATGCTAGGAGAGGAGATAAAATCATATAAAACATTCAATTTAAACCAGATAAGTCAGAAAAACATGGGGCGGGGCGGAACAAAGAAAAACTACAATTAATAAAAATTAATCAGAAGATACTAAAGAAATAACTTCAAATTATCATCAAAATATAAATAATTAAAAGACACTGTCAGAGTGGATAAAAAAATAAAGATGCCACCATATATTTTGTCTGCAAGAAACTGATTTCAAATATAAAAGGTAGGCTAAATGTAAGTGATGGAGAATGACATTGCACGCTTATGGTGAATCAGAAGAAAGCTGGAGTACTAAATTAGTTTCAGACACATGAGGCTTCAGAAAAAGGAAAATTATGGAGAATTAAGAGAGGCATTATATATCAAAAAGGAGTCAATTCCTCAAGAAATAAAACAATCCTAAAGGTGTATGAACCTAGCAACAGAGTATCAAATTACAGACTGATAGAAAAGAGATATAGATAAACTTGGTATTGTAATTGGAGATTCAACATCATCTTTCAGTAAGGGATGCATCAAGCAGATATAAAATTGGTAAGGGTATAGTTGACCTGAAGAGTACTATCAATCAACTTGATCTAACTGACATTTTATAAAACACTTCATACAGTAACAGGATGGAATATTCACCAAGATAAAACACATTCTGAACCAGAAATGTTACTTTAACAAATTTAAAAGAATAGAAGTAATGCAAATTATGGTTTCAGCCCAAAATAAAATTAAACTGAAAATCAATATATATTGAAAATATATCTGGAAAGCCCCCAATTATTTAGAGATAAAACACACACACACACTTCTAACATGGGTCAAAAGTCTCAAGAAATATGCAAGCTTTCTGTTTTAAATTAAAATAAATGTATATCATTAAATTTTGTGAGATGCAGAAAAATCGGTAGAGATTAAATTTGTAGCATTAAATTTATGTATTAGAAGACATTAAACATTTTAAATTAATAATATAACTTCCATATTAGGAAAATAGAGAAAGAAGAACAATTCAAGCTATAGCAAGCAAGCAGAAAAAAAAAGAAATAAAAATTAGAGCAGACCTCAATGAAATTGAAAAAAGAAAAAGAAAAATCAATAAACCCTAAAGTCAATTCTTTGAAAATTTCAGTAAAAGTGTTCTACTTCTAATCAAGCTAACCAAGAAAAAAAAAGAAGATACAAATAACAGTATTAGAAACAAAACAGAGGTCATAACTTGGTCTATCCAGGGTTCTGTAACAAAATGCCTTAGACTAGGTAATTTTAAAACAACAGAAATGTATTTAATATAACAGTTGTGGAACTGGGAAGCCCAAGATCAAGGTGCCAGCTGATTCAGTGTCTGGTGAAGACTTGCTCTCTGCTTGGAAGATGGTGCCTTCTTGTGGAGTCCTCACATGGTAGAGGGGTGCAAGACCACAATCTATTTTATGACAGAACTAATCTCATTCATGGAAATGGGGCCCTCGTGGTTTAATCATTCCATAAAGCCCCATTTCTTAATATTATCCTACTAGATATTAGGTTTCAACATAGTAATTTTGGGTGGACAACGACATTCAGACCATAGCATTCTATCTCTGCCCCCACCCCCACAAAAGTCATGCTCTTCTCACATGCAAAATACATTCATTCCATCTCAATAGCCCCCAAATCTAATCTTGTTCCAGAACAAATTCAGAAGTCTAAAGTCCTAAGTTTTATCTAAATCAGATGTGAATGAGACTCAAATATGTGATTAATCACAAAGCAAATTCCTTTTCAGCTGTGAGCCCGTGGTATCAAACAAGTCATCTGTTTTCAAAATACAGCAGTGGGATAGGCATAGGATGAACATTTTCATTCCAAAAGGGAGAAGTAGGAAAGCATAAAATAACAGGTCCTGACTAAATCCAAAAGCCAACAAAGCAAACATAAAATCTTAATGTTCAAGAATAATTTTTGTGTCGAAGTCCTGCTTTGCTTTTCTTGACATACCTGGGTGGGGGTTGGATCCCCATGATTTCAAGGGGCCTTATCACAGTGGTTTTGCTCAGTGCTAAAACTCTGATGAGTTGGAAAGTTGTGCCTGTGACTTGTGCAGACTGGGGTTTTTGTGGCAGCCCTGTCCACACAGCTTCATTAGGCATTGCCCTACTGGGTACTGTCTTCAGTAGTTCTGTCCCTGTGACAATTCTCTGCCTGGACTCTGAAGCTTTCTATGGCATTTTTTGAAATCTAGGTAGAGAATTCACGCCCTCACAGCTTATGTAATCTGCACCCTGGTGCAAAGGCATTGCATAGACAGTACCAAGGTTTACAGTCTGCCTTTTGGAAGGGCAACCTGAGCCACACATGGGCCCACTTGAGCCACAACTGGGACAGCCAAGGATTACTGCACCAGAATGCAAGTAGAGAATCTTGAAAATTTTCCGTTCCCAAGTCTTGATATTCTAGGCCCTATGATGGGCAGAGCAGCCCAAAAGATTTCTGAAATGCCTTTGGGTTCATTTACACATTGTCTTGATGAACGGCACCAGGCTTCTGCCTATCCATGCTAATCTCCTTATCAAAGTGTAGCTTGGCCACATCTTTGGTGTTCTCTCCTGAGAACAGGTTTTTTCATTATTTGCAATGCAGCGAGGCTGGAAAATTTCTAAATCTTTAAGTCTTTCTTCCCTTATGGTGACAAATTCCACCTTTAGTTGGTTTATCTTTTCTTGCATTGTACTCTAAGCACTCAAGATAAGTCATGCCATATCTCAGCAGTTTGCGTAGAGATTTCTTTTGCAAAATATCCCATTTTTTTTGGCCCACAAAATCTGCCCTCCACAAAACACTAGGACACAAACATGATTCAGCAAAGTTCTTTGCCACTTTGTACAAAAATGTCTTCTCTTCAAGTTTCCAATAGAATGTTCTCATTTCCATCTGAGGCCTCATTAGAAAGGCTTTTAGCATCCTTATTTCTACACAATCTCTTAAATCATCTCTAAGATGATTGAGGCTTTCTCTACAGCTCACTTCTTATTCTGAATGCTCACTAGAATCATGCTCTATGGTCCATTCATAGCAGCACAGGCTTCTTCCAACACACACCTCCAAACTGTTTCAGCCTCTATCCATTACCTAGTTTCAAAGATGCTTCCACATTTTTAGATATTTGTTATAGTAGCACTCCACTTATGGTACCAACTTCTGTTTTAGTTCATTTGGGTTGGTATAACAAAATACCTTAGACTAGGTATTTTGTAAACAACAGAAATGTATTGCTCAGTTCTTCAGGCTGGGAAGTCCAAGATTAAGTCACTGGGCAATTTGGTGTCCAGTAAGTATTTGTTCTGTACTTCAAACATTTGCCTTGTTGGTGCAGCCTCACATGGTGGAAGGAGGCAAGACAGTTCCTTTCAACCTCTTTAATAGAAACACACCAATTCCATTCTTGAGGGTGGAGCCCTCATGACTTAATTATTTCCAAAAACGTCCCACTTCTTAAAACTCTCACATTGGGTATTGGATTCCAATATATAAATTTTGGGGGACACCAACATTCAGACCATAGCAGGTCATCACAGCTGATCACATAGTTATTAAAAGGGTAATAAAAACATGAACAATTCTGTACCCCAAAATTTGATAACAGAAAATGGACCAGTTTTTTGAAAGAAACAAACTACAAAAACTCACACAAGGAGAGATATGTAAAATGATTAGGCTGGTATCTATTTAAGAAATTGAGTCAGTAATTAATAACCTTTTAAGAAAGAACCAGTAACAGGTGGTTTCGTGGGTGGATTCTACCAAACATTTAAGGTAAAAATAACAGTAATTCTCTGAAATATATTCTGGAAAATATAAGCAGAGGAAAACTCTGCTTATATCTGCAAACTCATTCTACAAGGACATTACCATAATAATAAAAACAGCTAAAGACATTATAAGAAAGGAAAACTACTGAGTTCATTTCTCATAAACACAAATGCAAAAGTCTTCAACAAAATATTATTATATAAAATCCAGCAATATATAAAAAGACTACACCATGACCAGCGGGATTTATTTCAGATGTACAAAGTTGCCTCAACCTTCAAAAATCAACATAAGACATCACATAGACAGTCTAAAGAAAACATTTATGAGCATATTAATTGATAAAAAGGGATTCAAAAACTCCAACACGAATGATAAAAACTTTTGGCAAAATAAAAATTTTCAGAAACGGAAGGCAACATCCTCAACTCAATGGAGAACATCTTCAATAACCCTGCAGCATGGTGAGAAATTGGATACTTTTCTCCTAAGAGTAGCAACAATGCAAGGATATCTTCTTTCAACTTTCATTTACAACATCATATTGAAAGTCATTTGAGATAAATAAGACAAGAAAAGTAAATAAAAGGCACACAAATTGGGAAAGAATAAGTATGCATTCTTTATTAGCAAATTACATAATATAATAGAAAGTCTTACAAAATCAACAAAACAATTCCTGGAACCAATAAATGTGTGTAGCCAGGTTACAAGATACAATGTTAATATAAAAGGCTAATTTCCTTCCTATGTATTAGAAACGCATGATTAAAATTTGAACTCTCATAAAATACCATTTACAATATATATTAGGTCATTTTGCATTGATATAAAGGAATACCTGAGGCTGGGTAATTTATAAAGAAAAGAAATTTAATTGGCTCACGATTCTGCAGGATGTACAAGTATGGCACCAGCATCTGTTTCTGGTGAGGGGCTCGGGAAGGTTATAATCATGATGGAAGGTGATGGGCAGCCAGCATGTCATACGACCAGAGAGAGAACAAGAGAGAGTGAGGGGGGCGGTGCCACGCACTTTTGACCAACCGGATGTTTCATGAACTAACTGAGTGAGAACTCACTTATCACCAAGGGGATGGTACTAAACTATTCATGAGGGATCCACCCCCATGATCTAATCACCTCTCACCAGACCCCACCTTCAACATGGGAAATCACATTCCAGCATCAGATTTGGGGGGGGTCAGGCATCCAAACTATATCACAATAGCGCTGGAAAAATGAAATATGTATAAATTAAAATATGTGCAAAATCTGTATGTTAAAAACTATAAAACAGTAATATAAAGTAATTTAAAAATCTAAGTAAATGGAGTGACATTCTATACTCATGGATTAGAGGATCAATATTGCTAATATGTCAATTTTTTCCAAAATAATCTACAGATTCAGTATAGTCCCAACCAACTCCCAGTAAACTACTTTATAGATATCAAAAAGCTCATTCTGAAGTTTATATTGAAAAACCTTGAATAGCCAACAAAATGCTTAAGAAGAGCAAGCTGGAGTACTTGTATTACTTGACTCGACTTATACAGAAAATCAAGAGAGCATAAATACATGTATCAACAGAATAGAGCAGAGTCCAGAAGTAGACCTATAAAAATATAGTCAACTGATCTTTGACAAAGGAATAAAGGCTAATCAATAAAGAAATGATATATTTTCAATAATTTTACTCGGACAATTAGATGTCTATATGCCAAACAACCTAAACACAGGCATTACAGCTTTCACAAGAATACATGCAAAATGGATGTTAGATTTAAATGTAAAACACACTATTATAAAATTTTAAGAGGAACACTTGAGAAGATCTAGATGATCTTTGGGTTCGTCCATGTGTTTTGGATATAATAAGGAATGCTTGATCCAAGAAAAAGAAAGTTGGATTTTGTTAAAATTAGAAAATTCTACTCTACAAAAGACATTGTTACAAAGAGAATACAAAAAAAAAAAGTCACAGACTTGGAAAAAATGTTTGCAAAACAAATATATAATAATTTATTTCAAACATACAAAGAAGTGTTAAAAGTCAACTATAAGAAAGTACACATTTCAATTAAAATATGGGCAAAAGATCTAAACAGATACATCTACTAAGATTTACAGATAGCAAATACATATGAAAAAAAGTCACATCATGTTACACTAGAGGGCTTCAAATGAAAGCAACAGTGAGATATCATTACGTTCATAACAGAATGAGTAAAATTTTTAAAATAATACAAGACAGACAATGCCATTTGTCTGTGAGCATGTCAATCAAGAGGACTCTTAATCATTCTTGGAGGGGATGCAAAATGATACAGCTGCTTTGGAAGACGATTTGGTAGCTTCTGACAAAGCTCTGAACAGCCTTCCCCATATAATTTGGCAATTCTGCTCCTAGATATTTATACAATTGATTTGAAAACTATGCCTACTCAAAAATATGCAAGTGAATGATGATATTAGCTTTATTTATAATAGCCCCAAAATGGGATCAACCAAGATGTCTTTCAATAGGTAAATTTTTAAACAATATCTGGTACATCCTTACAATGGAATATTGTTCAGCAAAAAAAAAAAAAAAAATCAGTTCATGAAAAGACAGAGAAATAGTGTATATGCTAATGATAGGTGAAAGAAACAAATCTGAAAAGGCTATGTAACACATACTTTCACATGTATGGCATTTTGAGAAAGGTAAAACAGAGATTATAGGATCAGTGGTGACCAGAGAGGAGGGGAGAAGGAAGGAGAACTGAGGAAGTGAAACACAAGGGATTTTTTAGGGTTATAAAACTATTTTTTATAATATTGTCATGGAGGATGCATGACACCATACATTTGGCAAAAGACATAGAACTTTATAGCATAAAAAAATTGAACCCTGGTGTATATAAAGTTTTAAATACACACACACACACACACACACACACACACACACCACATCCCTAGTGTATGTATGTATGTATACACACATATGTATATATATGTGTGTGTGTGTGTATATATATGGATATGTGTGTGTATATATATATATATACATATGTGTGTGTGTATATATATATATATATATATATATATATATATATATATATATGGACAGATGGGGTGGTTGGGTCCCCAGGTGGAATGCAGAATGGGTAGAATGGGACAGGACAATTGAACTGTTTTAAATATATACAAAACAATTTCCTTAAATGAGGTGGAAAAAAAATTTTTTGACCTAAGTAATTTTGGAAATGTGTGTAGTCTAAGAATAAAGGGAGAAGAAACTATACATAGAGAGTGTACCCTAGTTGGAAAAGTCCTTTCCTACAGGAGTACTGGCTAATCATTCTAGTACTGCTATAAATTCATACTAGAGGTGTAAAATTAAACAAATGAATAGCAAGTGGTGAAAGGTTTCTCAGTGCTGGAGGGGGAGTTTACAGACATGTAAGAACTCTAGAATGATCTACGAGGGAATGAGTTAATGTTGGCATCATCAGTATAAACTCATGTTTACCTTAATATAGCTAGAGATGGTTATAGATAGGAATATATATATATAAATATCCATAAGTTAATATATATCCATAAGTTAATATACACATACATTTTCTTGCCTTCTCAGCTTACAGAGTATAGAAGCACCACCACCTCAGTAGACACAAGCATACCTACTATTTAGATCTTGTTTTCTAACACCATTCTCCAACGAAAGGAACCAGATCTCCTTGAAGATTTGACTGATTCTAAGACTAGGGTATGATAGATACAAAATAAACCTCCAGTATCCTGTAATGCAGAAAGTAAAATAGTGTTAAAAATCACAATAATGGCAATATGTGATTTTATGTCAAAGATACACAGAAATCAATTGAAAAAGCTCCCAATAACCAAAGGTGGAATAATTTGAGCAACAAAATAAAGTTTTATTAGATTATAGCTCAAAATATAAAAATCTGTGAATCCATACAATGTAAATAAATTATTGAGGTAGGAAGATCTCTTGAGCATGGGAGGTCAAGGCTTCAGTGAGCTGTGACCACACTACTTCACTCCAGCCTGGGGGACTATACAGAAGGACAAGCGGGATGGGTGGCAGAGACTCTGACTCAATAATAATAATAATAAGTTATTGAATAATTTTTTTAATGGAGAGAATAGACAGCACTCTTATGCCTAATTCTAGATAACTTATATAGATACTTTGCCATTAAGGAGATGGAAAATAACTCTTCACTCTTTTAAGTGTGGGCTGTGTATACTGACTTCCTTCCAAAGAGTACAGTATGAAAGAGTCAGTAGTCACTTTACAGTGGAGAAACCTGAGAAACACTACTTCAGGTAGGCATCAAGGTTAACGTCAATAGTGATGTCATGTTGGTAACATGCTCCCTTGACATCACGTGAGAATATGGCACTTTAAATTTTTGGTTCTCCTCCCAAAAGCACATAACTTGCTTTCTCACTCTAACCTTGAGAAAAATGCCAGACAAATCTCAATTGAGGTACAATTTACAAAATGCTTGACCAATTCTCAAAATTGTCAAAGTCATCAAAAACTTAAAAAGTCTGTAAAACTATTACAGTTAATGGGTGCCTAGGATCTTTAACTACTAAATATAATATATGCTGAAACAGAAAAAGAACATAAGAAAACATGAATAATGCACAAACCAAATGTATCAAATTTGGTTCATTCATTGTAACAAAAATGCCATACTGATAAAGTTAATTAGAGTGGAAACCAAATGTGGGTTATATAAGAACTCAAACAATATCTAAAACTGTTCTAAATTAACAGTTTATTAAAACACAGTAAAATAGAATTACATGTACAATTAACATGCTTAATGACATAAATGCTAAAATTTGTCACTTTAATAGTAAAAAATGTTCTCACGATCTCGTTTTGCACTTTAACTGTATTCATGTTTTTTCTGGACAAAAATATTTTTTAAATTATTTTTATTTTTATTAAAATGAAAATAAATGTTTTTATCTGTAAGTAAATAAAACATGTTTCATAGACTATTGAAATTCTAATGCTTTATTTGCAAGCAGAAAACCATTATGCTAACCCCAAACAGTGCCAGGAAGCAATACACTCTAATTAGATTTACCTGTTAACTTTCTAAACTTGTTTTCTTGGAGATAAGTTCAGCAATAAAGTATAATTGAAATTAGATGGTTATCTAATTAATAAAACACATTATTTAGTGGCCATTTGCTACTGCATTTCATACTGATTATCTTTTCACCGATGGAAACTAAATACTGTATCTACTCACTATATAAATACACATACACACATTCTATCTCTCATATATATGTATGTATGAGAGAGAGATGAAGGTAGATAAACACATATACATGTGTATATATACATACATGTAACATAACATCTATCTATAACACATATATATGTATATATATATGTATATATATGTATATATATGTGTGTGTGTGTATATATATATATATATATATATATATATATATATAGCTACTGCTGGCAGTTATGGTTTAGTACTTTATGTTGCTTTATAACATTATCCAAATAACGTGTGTAGGTGTGTGTGTGTTTGTGTGTATATATTTACACAAATGCACAGTGAATATTGAAATAATTGTATTATAATACTGCATTATTAAACTATGATTAAATGAACATGGTTGTGAGACATGGGAGAAAAAAAATCTTATTTAATCCTCTGTTAGCATTGTGCAGTCCGAGTTAAAGAAGGCTTCATGTATTAGCATTGATTTTTATGTAGGCTAGAACTAACCTATTTCAATTCAAAAAGAATAAGAGCAACTATTTTTGGAACATCCATAATGTGTCTATTGCTGTATATATATTATCTTATTTCATTATCTTAACAGTATTTTATGGAATTATTTTCCATTTTTTATCTTTTTTTTCCATGATTGACACATAATAATTGTAAATTGGAACTCAAGAGATGTCAGGGAATTGCCCAAAGAAACAAGATAGTCAGTGTCAGAGTACAGATTGAATCCCAGGTTTCTCTGATGGTAAAGTCCACTTAGCAATATATTACAATTTCTTCTCACTATCCTAACTGGGTAAAAATAGGTGGGCAGTGATCTTAAGCGATATTGACTTAGTTGGGCTTACCTTTCTCTGTGTGAACTGTTGATTATTAAGGTATTGTTACTTAGAGATGAATGATTTGTTATTAGCAAATACCAGCATCATCCTTTTTCCCCTCTTGGAATTCCATACGCAAGTTTCTCTTTTTATTTGTATTTTCTTGTACAAAAAAATAAATGAGTTATTTTTTGGTTTGGCAACCCCGTGTGAATATTGGAAAGTTTCTAGAATTGAAAGATTCATGCAACACATATCCTAAAAGAAAACCTATCACTGAGATTAAAATGTGTGTGTCTATGCACATGTGCTGCTTTAAAACTGTGTTCTGTCCAGGCATTGCAACGTGAAAACGTGTAACAGGCAATCATAGTTTAAACTGTACTTTTTTGTTGTATTATGATTAACGATAAATGTCTAAATGTCTAAGTTAACATGCATAGGAAAGAATTATATTCACCAAACATCTTTCATATCAGTCATTGTTCACATCTGGTTCACATAAGTTTTTTTTTTTTTCTTCTTCTGAGACAGAGTTTTGCTCTTGTTGCCCAGGCTGGAGTGCAGAGGCATGATCTTAACTCACTGCAACCTCCACTTCCTGGGTTCAAGTGATTCTCCTGCCTCAGCCTTCCAAGAAGGTGGGACTACAGGTGCACATAAGTTCTTTACACTTATGTCAGGAATATATTTTTTAAATCTTGTAACAAATTATACTTAATATTTATACATAAAATATATCCATCCCTAGACTGAAAGAGAAAGAAAAGAGGGCCAGTAGCTGAGGGGAAGCTATCATTTTACTACATGTTGGTTGTTTGTATCTTCTAATTTCATTTTAGTAATTTTTTCATGAAGAAATTAGGTTATTATAATTCCATTTAAACCATGTCTATCTGACCCTCCAAAACATGCCAATTTCAACATACATGTGTCTACACCGATGAGTTTATTAAAAGAAAGCTAGATTTGATATTTTCCAAATGCCCTTCCCCAATAATGCTCTTCATTTATAAAAAGTTTCTGAGACTGAATATTATTTTAAAATTCCAAAGTTTCTGATGGAAATACTAAATAAAGAAAACATAAAGGCAATTGTGCCTAACCTCTCATTCTTCAGCTTTGGAGAATTTTCCCTGACAAGGTCACATTTTAAATATTGCATCCTTTCTGGCTATCAAAATTGGATCTAACACCAGTCTTCCAGCTATAAAATATACTTCCAAGATTTATAACCCCCTATGTATCCACGGAGAACAAGCTGACATAGAAAATATAAGTGACGGCTATCACTGATTAGTGCCTGCTGCACATTAATGGTGCAATTTGTGATCAAGAGCTTGGTCATCAGTTTTGGAAACTTGGAACCACTAATCATTCATATAGAAGTAATCCGTTCCTAGACAAACTCTGAAATAAACTAACAAACTAAAATACTTCTGCATTAATTTACAAATGTGGCAGAATCACCAGCTCTATTTTTCCATTTATTTTACTACATATGTATTGATTACTTTAAAAGTTTAAAGCGTGAAGATGGACATTACAGATAACAAACTTGGATACCACTCGGTTAATCACAGTAGAGATTCTAGGGCTCGGAGGCAGAATTGAGGAAATGGCTCAAAGGATAGATCAGTCAATGTTGGGGAGTTCTTGAATAGCAGAATGATAAATTATGACAATTTATTTGGCAATTAGAAGATGTTGAAAGTTGTGGACTAGGAAAATTATATGATTAAAATTACATGTCAGGAAAATTGATTTTGCAGATGTGTTATAGTCCTAAATATTTTTTTTCTAAGATTGATTTTACCATATTCTTGGGAAAGTGCCTTATTCTTCTTTAGAAAGCCACCTTATCCATGGTAATAAAAGTGCCTTCACTAGGTTGAAAGAGAAAAGCATTAGCTGCTAGACCTGTTGATGTTATTAGCATGGTCAAGATAAGAGGGAATAAAATCCTCCTGGGGGAGACATTGAAGGGGATAGGTTCTAAGTAATTACTCAAGTGAAGAGCTACAGGGAGACAGGGAAATGGACAATTAAAGGATGGTTCATTTTGGGAGATAGAAAAATAGTGGTAGTTTTGACAAATTTGATGATATGATATCTGTTGGGGGAAATAATCATTTAGAAAACCAGGACATGATCCTTGCCCCACCAAGCAGTTGTGTGACCTTAAATGAGTCCTCTACCTTCTCTATTCTATAGATGTTTCACTGTGACATGATGGGGCAGAAAAAGACTGCCTCTCTCTAAGTTTCATCTGGATCTAAGGTTCATGCTATAACTGAAATGACCATTTTTATTTTATCATAGAAAATTCAATTTCTTGGATGATTACTTATTATTTGAGATTCTTATGTGAGCATAAAGTTCATTTCATACACTATTACAGAAACAGATTCTAATTAAACCTTAGAACACAGAAACTTAGCATTAAGTGCAATTCTCATAGTAAAAACTAGGAATGACTATTTCACAATACAGTAATAAATGCACTACTGCTAGTCAGCATCTCTTCATGCTTTACCCTTGACTTCCAACTCTTATTCCTCCTGGGGCTGCAAGTCCCCAAATGTAGACTTAATGAAGTCTTAACCCTATGACTATAGGGTAGGCTTAAAAAAGGCCATTGTTTTATACTTTGATGACTCACTAGTAAGTAAGCCATCTTGATAATCTAGTCCTTACTGTAGTTGTTCCTGGACACCTCATATATTTGAGACAAAGGGTCCTTAATATTTCAGATGTAGGATCTCAGTCAAGTTCCCTGCACCTGAATCTATTTGATGAAACGCTATATCTATCTATATATATATCTATATATCTATATCTATATCTATATATATCTATATGTCTATATCTATATCTATATATCTATATATATATCACCATATAGATATAGCTATATCTATATCTATATCTACATATATATATATCACCAAAATAAGTACTTAGGCCAGGGATGAATTAAATTTGGATCTATGAGTCAAATACTTGTCCAGAGATTGGACAATGTCTTACACTTTCTTTCTCTGCCCTGATAGCAATGCTACTGTTTTAATGGTCTCCACTTAATTTGTCAAACTACAGGGACTCAATTATTTTGTAGCGTTCTCCACATGAATATTCTTAGCTTGGATGGCCATGGATGTTAATAGCAATGTACCTTTTTCTCTTAGCATCTCTTCTTTAGCATATTCTACCCTAACTTATCGCTAAACTTTTCTATCCCGCTGCACATTTGTGGTGTTGGGTTGGAATTTTTGATGTCTTTTTTTTTTAAAGCTTAATTTCTTCGGACTTCCTTCAAAGCAAAAACTCAAATTAATTGGACCAATATACTGCTGCCCTTTGCTTTATCTCGGAACATTGTTTTTCTTCCAATGTGCCAATCCCTGAGAATGAAATCTAGATAACCAACAGTACTTCCAGAACTAGAAATTTTCAATACATTTGCATCTCATCCATGTTGTAAATGGTATCATCAACACAGTGCTCAAGTGCGGTAAAATTGCAGGAGTTCAGGAAAAGAGCCAATTTCCTGATAGATGGCTGGTGACTACCTTTTTGATCATGTTTGGAAGTTGTCCTCTCATTCTGAGACTGGGCTCTACTTTGTTTTTGCTTCCTTTTTTGTTCTCTCAATTTGAAAATTAAGAGTAGCTTACTTAGATCTCTCTGGACCCCTTTTCAGTTTTAATTTTTTAACTAAAATATGTATCTTGAAAAAATTTTTAAAAGATATTAGAAATGTTTTTCTCTTATTTTGTTTTTCTTGTGAAGCACCAAAATACCAAAGGGAAAATTGGTCTTCTAGCCTTTAAATGGGCACCTGCGATGCAGGTGGGTCTCTTCTATCACAGAAGCATCCATTCCATCTTTATGAAGAGAAATTTTACATTGTGTGTAAAAGGAACCAACTTGTTGGCAAGCAAATCTTGCTTCAAGCCATCACTTGAATATATACTTGGACACATTCCTCAACCTTTCTAAACTTCAGTTTAAAAATACATTAAATAGGAATTACAATATTACCTGATTTATGATTTATAGTGGGGTTATATGAGTTCTTGAATTTAACTTAGTGTCAGGCACATAAAAATTCTCATTAACTCTAAATTATTACACATTTGGTAGAAACATTTTTTTCTAGTGTGTTTGTAAATGTCCATTCCATGAGCATAAGCGCACTTGTGGACATTGTTGATGCCTTCATGCAGAGACTCCTGTAAGTCTATACACTCATTAATTAATCTTCAGTAGATAGTATGCTTTTTGAAGACAGAGATTTTCCTTAAATTTGTATCATCCACTAACCCCAGCACAGGCCTCAGCATGTCATGTGTGTTTTGTTTAATGTCTGTTTATGACATCATCTTGTCACTGCGCTAGGACTAATGGAATACATCATCTTTCTTTGAAACTTGATTTCCTATGCAAGCTTCAACAAATTCCATCACCCTGGACTTTAATCCTGGAGGTAATATTATGAATCATCTATTCCTGAATGGAACATATGTGGCATGCCTGCTTCTTGACAGATTTATTCATACAGCATTTTTATTCTATAGGGTCTTCACATTGCCTTGGAAATATTTTCAGCAGAATGTTCCAGAGGTCATTACCAGTGCATCAGAGGAGTTGAAACCTTCTTCACAATAGAGAGCTAATTTCCTTATTAGATTTGTGTTGAAAGTGAGGCCCAAGGAACTTAAGTGATATTCCCATGAAAATCAAGATCTCTGGTCTCATGGGTTTAGAATTATAAAATTGTGAAATTGTGGAATTTAAGATTTTGAAGGAAAGAGAAGTGGTATTTACTAATTACTTATGTTGCATCAAGTCTTTGCACGTATAGTATGAATTCACCTTCACATCTCCCAAATTACAAAAGTATTTTCTTATTTATAGATGGGGAAACAGCCAGTAAGCGGCAGAGATAACATCCGGACCCTCAAATTCACAAAATTATTTTTGCTTAAAACTTTCCTCCTTCAATCATGCAATTAAACCCCCTCATTTAATAAATAAATGCCCAACTCCAAGTTTACTGAGGTTGATAGTTTGTTCAAAGTTGCCTATCAAGTTAATGGAATGGTGGGTGCATTTCTGAGTCAGGCAGAATTCATTTTTCAACAACAGTTGAAGTCTTGACCCTGATGTTTTCTTTCATAAAATGGAAACTTATACTTGGTCTTTACTGATATTAGATTTAATCAAAATTAGAAATAGGTTTAATAAAGATCTTAGTACATTTGTAAACAAATTTAGATTTGAGATCTATTTGTGGTTCGTTTGTAGTAAACACCCTGCTTCATCTAATGCTTTTGATGCTTCTGGAAATATACTACGTGAACTATGACAATTCATTTTGTCCATGTTCTTAATTTGTCTCAAGAATAATTTTTTAGTACAGTGCATATTTAAGAGAATGAGTCTGAGCAGGTGGATTCTCTTATTAAACAAACTGAGAGCACTACATACCACACACATACACAAACACAATCAAATAGGTCTGCATTTCCCTTTGGAGAACATTGTTTGGGGCAATTTTTATGCTTTAAGAAGAGTTCTCATGTTTAATTCATCTATCACCAAAGGGACACACTTTAGGGATAATGAACATCAATAGAGACCTCTTCTGCAAAACATTTAGCCTAGTGAATGGTAAATTACTTTGCACTTAAGTGACTCCATCAGTTCACTGTCTAAAGGAAGCTCAACATAATTGACGGCAGCTGAGGATCGCAGTAGACCAGTTAGCATTTTTCTCTGTCACGTTTGCAACGAGTTGAGCACTAAGTGATGTAAACTATATCTAGGCCAACTTTCTGAAGCTTTTGCCTATGTCATTTGACATTTTGCTGAGTGATCTCTAGCCAGTTCCCCAAACCAGAAGGCAGCAAAGACAACAGTGGCAAATGGTGAATCATAATCTACTGAAACCAAATTCTACTCCTGGTGTTGCTTAGATTGTTGCGTAAGGAAGGAAATTTTACGTCTCTAACCTTTGTTTCCACTTCTTTAAAGTTGAGATAATAATGAGGCCTAAGTAATGTTCTTTTCCCAATTAAATGTTATTCTCTGTAAAGTACCTGATACAATGTTGTGCAATAATGAACGTCCAAAAAATGTTTTCTACTTGTATTACAGGGCACTATCTCTGATGCTCAAAACAACTCTATGAGAGAGAAATCATTGTCCCCATTTCACAGATTAGAAAACAACACAAATCAAAAACAGAAACCTGAGACTTAAGGTGACACTGTAATTGACAAACTATTAAGCAGTCAAATCAATTCACACTCTAGTGTGTTTAGCTTCAGATCCTTTGTATTTTCCACCCCACCAAGCATGACATAACTGTAATATTCAAGTAGTGGTCCTAGGAGGTAAATGAACCTGTTAGCAAGGCACCATTAGGAAGAACAGCTCAATTTCAGCCCTGCCAACA
The DNA here is from genome assembly GCF_000001405.40 of Homo sapiens. Classification (NCBI taxonomy): domain Eukaryota; kingdom Metazoa; phylum Chordata; class Mammalia; order Primates; family Hominidae; genus Homo; species Homo sapiens. The sequence continues at coordinate 64,094,822 of NC_000016.10, read as the reverse complement.
CTCTGACCATTGTGTTTGGCAGACACGCTTCAGCTTCCAGATGGATAATGTTGAGCCAAGCCACTAATCAGGTCAGTAGGTCAATCCCAACAGTGTTTTGTAGTTAATGTATTCAGGCAGGTCTATCAAAATGTGGTCATGCTCAAAATCTGGTGGTCTGCAGGGGCCATTTCCAGGGGCTTTCAGTGCAGATGCAAATGTTGAGAAATGCCTGTCTTCAAACCCTCCCATGCCAAGGTCACCTTTCTCATGCTTCATGGAACAGCACTGCAGACATCGCCACATATTTGCACAAGTCTTTGAAGAAATGCAGCCTTGTCGACTAAGAGACATTTTGGAGGACAAGTGTTGTCATCTTCCAGGCACAGTGCATATCAGAATTTTACTCATTGCAGAATAATGAAAAACATGCCCCTTAGAGAGACAACATAGTGAAAGAAAGTATAAACTTGAGGCATGAGTTCATCTGATTTCATCCCTGGCTCTTGTCATTTGTGATCTTGGGAACGTTGCTTAACTCTACTAAGCTTTGTTTCTATCATACATAACATTTCAGAAATAATATCAACATTATTGGGTTGCTATGAGTAATGACTAGAAAAAAAAAAAACCTCAAGTTTAAAGCAATTGACATAGTCCTTGACACAACTTCATCTGCCTTCTAATCACCATCTTGCAATTAAATTGCTAAACTCTGACACCTTAAAAATCACCATAGAGTGAGACATTCTATACAATGCCTTGAAACTGATTTATTAAAACTGTACTGATTGGCTCTATGAAACCCAAAAGTCCAACAGTGAGTTGATCTAATTATAAATTAATGGTTACCAAAATGTAATTGGTTTGTAACAATCTAACAATCTTGCTTTATCTTCCTTTCATTTTATTGCTTTCCCATTCTCTATGACTATATTATAACTCTCCACTCTCCTCAAATGTTTATTATCTCCTTCTCCACCCACACTGTAGCATCACCTTGGACAAATGACCTAGAAGTTTTCCTCAAAAATATCCCGCAGTAGCTGCACTTTTCTTTTTTGGTACTAAATATACTCAGAATTATCTATTGAATATGGTTTTCTTATTAAAATAAATTTGGTGTGCCTGCTCCACTTAAAATGGAGTAGAGGCTCAATAGGTATATGCTAAATGAATGAACAAGTTTCCACAATTAATGACATGGGTGAGCTGAAACAATAGATCCTTGTAAAATTAGATTGAGGATAACACCTCTTTATAATCTCACCATTCATTATACAATATGGTATATTTTTATTTTCATATGATAACTCACAACTCTTTTATGACATAGGCATGTCAGAGATTAAAACTTCAGATAAACATGGGTTCAGAGACCACAGACAGCTTTCCAGAGAGAGTTAGTAAGCTGCAATTTAAAAAATAATTATTTCTTTCCCCGTTCATTTTTTCCATATACTACATAATATTATAAATGTTTATTATGAATAACAATGTTCACACTCAGAAAATTCAGAGCTGCCTAAAATTAAATGAAAGGTTAATTAATATCTATAGGTGGCAAGGATCTGGTCAATGTATGCTGTATCCTGGATTTGTTCAATCTAGCCAGTATGCCAGCAAAGCTCAGCTTTAATTGTTGAAGACTCAATTACTTAGCAATGCCTTTACTTGTTCAGTGAGTTTCATGTCAGTCATATGCATCCCCAGCACTTGTGATCTTGTAACTTCAGGAATATTAAAATGTGATCTTTTTCCACACAAAAAATGGGTACATTTGGCAGCAGAAATTGTTTCTTCTATGTAGCCCTAAATAGTCATCTGTATGCACAAATTCCTAAGAGTGAAAATATTTTAAGGGTATCTAAAAGTCTAGAAAATTGATCAATAATTAGTCAAGAAATGGGAAGTTTTAATCAGTACCTTAAATTTTCCCAACACACACACACACACACACAAGCAGACATCATTGCAATTTTGACATATTTTTTCTCTTTAATCTGGCTTGTATGCCTAAGTGTCCCATGTGAAATCTACAGAAGATTGGTCAAGCTAAATGCAGAATTGTACAAGCACAATAACATTCAGATGAATGAAAGAAGGGGACAGAAAGGTACTATAGTTTATATCTATTCTGTGCCATTTAATGATCCAAAGATAAAAAGCAAAGCAAAACCAAATTAACGGATACAAATGTTTAATATAGGTATTTTCCCCTACTTTATAGGTGAGAATGTGTAAGCTTACTAGCTTAAGTAAGTAAACAAAGGTCACACAACTATTAAATAGCGGCTTTGGAATTCAACCTAACTCACATCTGACTGCATCTCATTCCTTACCCTTGAATAATGCATGATTAATCTGCCTTGTCTCTTTTCTTTGAGACACACACATACAAAGCCATCTCATACCAAATATGGACAACAACCATTCTCCACCGCCTGCTTGCTTTCCTTTCTTCTCTTCCATGTGTCTCTAGTTTCTTGCCTTCCTTGCTCTGAAATCCCATTTTGTCTTGACTTTCTTGATGAAACCATTAGGTTTTCTCTTGGTTGTAATTTGAGCTACAATTTAGAAGAATTGCCACACCTACCTGCAACCCTGTAGGCTCTCTATGTCTCTCTTCACCATTCTAACTACACTGAACCTCAGTAAGGAAAATTCCACCATGCAACCATCTTTTTATTGTAGAAATCATTAAGCATATCAGATGTCTGTTCAGAACAAAAAATTATTGACATTACTAAGTTCTTCATAGTGAGTTGTATATAACACCCCCCTTGAGGGCTATCGTTTGCTTTAGTAAACAACCCACAGAGTGGGAGAAAATCTTTGCAATCTATACATCCAAAAAGGACTAATATCTAGAATCTATGAGGAACTCAAACAAATTAGCTAGAAAAAAAACAATCCCGTCAAAAAGTGGGCTAAGGACACGAATAGATAATTCTCAAAAGAAGATACACAAATGGCCAACAAACACATGAAAAAATGCTCAACAACACTAATGATCAGGAAAATGCAAATCAAAACCACAATGTGATACCACCTTACTCAAGAATGGCCATAATCAAAAAAGAAAAAAATAATAGATATTGGTGTGAATGCGGTGAAAAGGGAACACTTCTACACTGCTTGTGGAAATGTAAACTAGTACAACTTCTATGGAGAAAACAGTGTGGAGATTCCTTAAAGTGCTTTAAAAAAGGCTTTTAAATACTCATCTGGGCACTGGGTTATATGTACAATTATTTTGTTCTGTAGATTTCTGTTTTTACGTTACAAGGACTGAATATGTAATATGGATTATTAGCATTTGCCAGACAGGCCTTTTATGGTGTAGCCCAGTGTTTCCCAGTCCACTTTAGTCCACAGGAGACTCAACATTGTCACGTCTCTATTTCTGATTAAAGGAGTAAGGGAAATGAAAAGAGAGTACAATAAGCTGGCCAGCAGGCTGTGTCTCTGCAAGGGGGCTAAGAAAAGGACCAATTATGGGTACACATGTTCTTGGCTGACCAAAATTTAGGCAATGAAGAATCGCTAATCTTACTTCTCATTGGGCAAATAAAAATATAGAAACTTAAATACCTTACTAAATCATATAATATATTAATAGAAGTAGAAATACTAGAATCTAGAAATTCTGGTTTACAAACAAATGGTCTTACTTCCTAACCATACTCACTAGACAATCTCATGTGAACCCTAATCAATGCCCTTTTTCTGCTATTTCTAGTAATTAAGTATGCAGACTGTTCCAAAATGAGGCATCCTCTTTATTTTCTTGGATCTCTTAAGAATGTCATGTCCAAAGCAGGGACTCCAAAGCAATACTAAGAGATTTAATTAATATAATATATTATTTAACACATATATTAAATAATAAATAGACTAAGCCTAAAAATAATTTAAGTCACCCGTCATATGCCAGACACACTCCTCAGCACATTCTCTTTTTGTTTTGTTTTTGTTTTTTCGTTTTTGAAAATTTTTTTAAATTTTACTATACTTTAAGTTTTAGGGTACATGTGCACAACGTGCAGGTTTGTTACATATGTATACATGTGCCATGTTGGTGCCTCAGCACATTCTTAACCATCACAAAGTTAGGGGTAGAAGGTCTGCTGCAACTGTTACCATGAGCTAGATACTATATAGCAGCTATGATATTCCAGCCATGATTATAAGTACACACACACATACACATATGTGAACATATTTAATCCTCACAATAACTCTATGAAGTAGGGTTGTTATTTTATTCCCACTTTACAGATGAGAAAATAAAGGCTCCAAGGTACTAGATAATGATTAGTCAGCAGACATTAGTCAAATACCTCCTCTTATTGGGCATTATGTAAGCATTGGGGATATAAGGATACCTATAAAAGGAGTAGTCCTGGAGCCTTCAATCTAATGAGGATAACAGCTTTTAAACTGATTGCAGCACGAGTAATTCATTAGCATGAAATCGCTATAATCAAGGATTATAGGGTACCATGGAGTACATAATACGAAGGCAAATTCTGTTCTGAAAGTGCAGCTTTTCTCTAAGTCATTCTAGTAGATTAGAACAGCTGTCCAAGCAAAAGTGGAGGGAAAATGTCTTAGCCTGTTTCCTATTGCTTATAACAGAATACCTGAAACTGAGTAATTTATAGGGAAAAGGAATTTATTTGTTACCATTATGGGATCTGAGAAGTCCAAGGTCAAGAGGCTGCATCAGGTAAGAGCCTTCTTGCTGGTGGAGAATCTCTGCAGAGTACTGAGGCAGCACAGGACATGACACAGCAAAGGAGCTGAGCATGCTAACATCCTAGCTTAGGTCTCTCTTCCATATCTTATAAAGCCACAGGTTCCCCTCCCATGATAACCCTTTCTTCCATTAGTCCATGAATGGATTGATCCTTTCATGAAGGCAGACCCCTCATGACCCAGTCACCTCTTAAAGGTCCTGCTTCTCAATACTGCCACCTTGGGGACAAAATTACAACATGAGATTTGGAGGGAATCCTCAAACCATAGCAGAAGAGAATTAAAAAAGCAAGGGTTGAATCTACACTGTCTGATGCAGGACATGAAATGTGGCTAGCATAAGTGCAGGTGTGTGTTAGTGTGAAATACACAACAAATTTCTAAATCTTAAGAAGAAATAAAAAGAACCTAAAATAATACCTAGTCAATACCTCACTTTTAATATGGATTACAGGTTAAAATGCTGATGTTTTCGACATAGTGTGTTAAATAAAATGTATTAGAAGTAACTTTCTGATTTGGTTTGGCTCTGTGGCCTCACGCAAATCTCTCTTGAATTGTAATCTCCACATGTCGAAGGAGGGACCTGTCGGGAGATGATGGGATCATGGGAGCAGTTTTTCCCATGCTATTCTCCTGATAATGAGGGAGTTCTCACAAGATCTGCTGATTTTATAAATGGCAGTTTCCCCTGTGCTCTCCCTCTCCCTCTCTCTCTCTCCCCTGCCACCATATAAGACTTGCCTTGCTTCCCCTTTGCATCTGTGATGATTGTACATTTTCTGAGGCCTCCCGAGCCATGCAGAACTGTGAGTCCTTTCTTTATAAATCACCCAGTCTCAGGTAGTATCTCTATAGCTGTGTGAAAATGGACCAATACAGTTTCCTATTTAATTTTTTAATGCAGCTGTAATAAAATGTATAATTACACAAGGAACTTGGATTTGTCACTCACATTATGGATCTACTTGACAGGCTGGCTTCAGGTTTCAGGTCAAAGCAAAGGTCAGTAGCTGGAAGGACTCAATGGATGGGAAGCAGGCCTGCGAGGCTGAAGTATGGTAAACGTTGGAAAGTGGCCCAAGATGAAGCTGTAGATACGGACAGGATAAGATCATCTGCTTAAGATACAGAAGTGACCAGATTTATGCCTAGTTTGGTCTGATTCCAGAGCTGTGACTTCCTAAAAACAATACGGTGCAGCCTCTTCTTAAACAGTGGTCACCATCGGCCAGGCATGGTGGCTCCTGCCTGTAATCCCAGCACTTTGGGAGGCTGAGGTGGGTGGATCACCTGAGGTCAGGAGTTTGAGAGCAGCCTGGCCAACATGGTGAAATGCCATCTCTACTTAAAATACAAAAAATTAGCCAGGGATGGTGGTGGATGCCTGTAATCCCAGCTACTCAGGAGGCTGAGGCAGGAGAATCACTTGAACCCGGGAGATGGAGGTTGCAGTGAGCCGAGATCATACAACTGCACTCCAGCCCTGGGCAACAAGAGCAAAACATCATCTTGAAAAGAAAAGAAGAGAAAAGAAGGGAAGAGAAGAGAAGGAAAGAAAGAAAGGAAGGAAGGGAAGGGAAAGGAAAGGAAAGGAGAAAGGAGAGGTCACTATCTCAGTAGCCAACTCTTTTCTCTTCATTCAGACAGCAACACTTAGTTCTTCTGGCATGTCTTCACTTACTGTCTTGTTTTGACATTAGGGTATTCATGCCTCTTCACTCAACTAACCATGAGGGTTTCCATCATCCCAGGGCCTCTTCAACACACAGACCCATGTTTCTCCAGTTTATCTCGTTTAATGTGAATCTCTAACAGTGAATGCCCCCAAAACTGTCATGGGGGCAGGTGGTGGGTGGAGGTTGTTGGAATAATTCTTTATCTCTGCAGACTGGCTGTGTTTTTGAGTCTTCTCAATATGTTTGTCTACCTGATCTTTCTTTGTAGTTCCAAATCAAAGAATCCTTGCCAGTTTCCTGAATGAGCAAAGTTTTTGTCCTGGGAAGGGGAAACAGAAAATAATATAATTTGTTTTCCTTCAGGTTACTCTAGCCTCCCTCCTCTTTTTCCACTCCTCTCCATGGTATCACCACTTTTATTTTTTGCTATTTTCCTTCTTTTTTCCTTGTTTCATTTTCAATGTGGCAACTCTTGGACAGGCTCCACTAAGCAGACCTCCAGGGGTCCACTCTTATGTCTCTCCTACTAAGTCCCACCACTTTCAGAAGGAGCTAATCCTGTCTCAGTTCAATATGTATACTTTTATGGAGCTTATTGTATCATTTTTTGAGTTTTAATTGTATGATTATGTTTTTCCCAGGGAAAAACCAAGGGAACTTACTGAAGCAGAAGTGATACTGGATGAATATTCCAGTTATTACCATAACAAGCTAAATAAGAGAGAGGAAAGAAACCACGTAGGAACTATAAGAAATGCATTCAAAGTTTTGTTGTAAAGTGTAGAATATTGGTCATCTTGTGTTCATAATTAGCCAAATCTATTTTTAAAAAGCGCGTGTGTGTGAGAGGGAGAGAGAAAGATAATCATATAGGCTAGATTTGAGGTGCACATTTGGACTCTGTGCTTTTCCTCTGTAGCAATACGTAAAGTGTGTTTGTAGAATTTCTACTGCAATTTCTTTCTTTGTATATGTAGCAGCTAACAAGACCTGTGTCTTTTTTTGCTGGTAAGTATCCACCGTTTCAATAAATGCCCAGTTCAAAATTAACTCCCCCAAAAAATAACATCTAGCTAATCTTTATAATTATAGAATGCATTTGCTTTGGAATGTCACTAGATGAACTAAAGAGTATCTTATCGCTCTCCTGTAAGAGGTATCTGGATGTTACCTATTTAACAAATCTGCACATCCTGCACATGTACCTCAGAACTTAAAATACAAATTATGATTTTTTTTTAAAAAAAGAGGTATCTGGATGGTTTCTTGTAATGGTTTTAATTTTGTGCTTTCATTTTTTATTTTCACATACACTTTCTCTGTTTTGTTTCTTAGTTTTTTGCATATTAACCAAAAACTGAATGGCTACTATTCTACCACATACCTTGAGGCAGTTAAATTCTATCTACCCAGGAAGAAAGTATATACACAAAAGAGCTGCCATTGATGCGTTTTGGAAGCATGCGTGTGTTTCAGAAAGGATGAAAAAGTACAGAATTATTGAAGAAGGTAGTATTTGAAATAATTCTTGATAGATAAGTGCTTGCCTTTTAAAGGATGAAAGGAAATTCTAGGTAGAAAAATCAGAATGAGTAAAATTTTAGAAAAGTGAAAAAAAAGTCACATTCTAGAAGAGCTAAGTAATTCAATGTAGCTGGAACTAAGACACAAAGACATTAGCATTTTAGAGGTGAAGATCAGGAGATGGGTGTGGGTTCAATTCATGTCATGTTAAATAATTTAGACTTTGTCCTGTAGATATAGGGAGACATCAAAGCTGTTTAAACAAAATGGTGTGTAATTAGTTTTATGTTTGAGAAATATCATCCTTATAGTAATATAGAAATTGCTTCCTAAATGTCCTCCCTTGTACTTTATACTTAAAAATTCTGGAAGAACATAACCTCCTGCCCTCCTTTGCTTTCTTTGCAAAGAACCTACTGCAATCTCAGCATAAGAGGAATTTATTCATCTCCATACAAAATGAGAGAATATTATTGGAACATGTTTATTTAATAAGTAGAATGTGTGCTTCGACACAACCTGGGCCTAAGTTAAAAATATAGCTTTACTGGCTGGGTGCGGTGGCTCACGCCTGTAATCCCAGCACTATGGGAGGCCAAGACGGGCAGATCATGAGGTCAGGAGATTGAGACTATCCTGGCTAACATGGTGTAACCCCATCTTTACTAAAAATACAAAAAAATTAGCCGGGCGTGGTGGCTGGCGCCTGTAGTCCCAGCTACTCGGTAGGCCGAGGCAGGAGAATGGCGTGAACCCGGGAGGCAGAGCTTGCAGTGAGCCGAGATCGCGCCACTGCACTCCAGCCTGGGTGACAGAGCAAGACCCCACCTCAAAAAAAAAATAATTATACACACACACACACACACACACACACACACACACACACACACACACACACATATAACAAATATGTATAGCTTTACTGCTTAATAGTCATGTATCATTTTTGAGCCTCAGTTTTTGTCATCTGTTACAATGGGAATGGTACTCTTCAAATGGTTATTTTGAGAAATATTTTCAGTATATTGAAGCCCCTCGGTCACATTTTGTTTGTATGCTGGTGTATATGACTGTTTTCTTGGATTCTTAAATTATTCCTCTCAGACTATACGTTCAAAATGAACTGAATGAAATGCTGTTGGATTTACATCGCCATAAAAATGAAACAATCAACTACCTACCACTGAACCAAATTTTATTTTGAACTTTATTGGTATAATATGTCAGTGACAGAAGAGAAAAGATTTCAGTGCAACCGCTTTACATTCCAAACAATGCATAATTAGGGCTCAGAGCAAGAATCAAAATCTAGGTACACACTGAGTTTTAAGCACATTCTAACAGATCCTGAACAAAAACCCAAATTCTGTTCTGCACAGATGGTGGAAGACAATATTCCTGTGCTGCCAAAAATATGTGTTGACTGAGCGAAGAACTAAATGACATTAGGATTGTTCTTTCAGTATTACCTTTCATGCGGGCTTCAAGTTGTTTCAGACTAAATGGAAAACGTTCAAGGACTTATCAGAGAATAATCAGTGCACACAGGATGTTGATGCTTTGTCAGGATGTGTTTCAATGTGGAATAAGATTTCAAATTGGATTAATATGCAGAGTCTCAAATACCAAACACCAACACTGCTAGCAAACTTGATCATCTAAATTCCAGAGATAAAAGAGTGGGAAGGTTTGCAAATAGTATATAGATTGGGCCCAGCCCAGTGTCCATCTCATCCCATGTTTTCTGGGGGGAAAGCACGTTTCCTCCTGGGGACATCCTGATCTAATTTTTTTCAATACACAGCACTGGCTAAATTCAGATTTGCTGACCCCTGGAGTCTAGTTATTCTGCTCTGCCAATCCAAATGATGCTTTCTCAACACTTGCATTGGCTGAATTATTTAAAATCATTTAAATGATTATTTTGAAGTTTCTTTTATTTTTTTTTCGTTAGCTCACTGTGCCTGGGGGCCAGATGGCAATGAATGCTGCCATCGTTAATTTAAATAAATAAAAATGAGAGGTCAGGAAAATTTCCAAATGCTCCTTGTGAAGCAAAGCACAACACACATCCCCTCATTTTTCTTTATCTTGTCTTTTTTTTTAATGATCAACTTCAAACATTCAATCAGAATATGTCTGAATCATTACACTTAGCACGTGAAAATTTTTTTAAGTACCAGATTCCGTTAAACATATATTATGAAGATTTGTACAGGTAATTTTTAGCCTTCAGATTTGGAAAGTTGAAAGTTGCATTTAACGTCATATGGGACTGAAAAGGTTGATTTTGATACTGTCCTTGAAATACACAAACAATAAGTGCAGTCAATTTCAGAAAAATATATTTCTCCATTGACAATGTTATAATATAGAGTTTTATGAGGCATATATCTAAAGCACACTCTTCTTTGTCATAAAAGTAAGAGGGTAACAATTAGGTATTTGAAGAGAGTGAAACATTGAAGTGGTAGAACTGACTCTGAACATGATGTTATATTAAGTTAAAAAAGTGTTCAGCTTGGAGGTTTTATAATTTGTGGTAATTAATACTTTATATGTCCATCAATTCTAAATCTGTACACATTTAGGTTTGGAGTTGGCAAGCCCAGATAGAAACAAGAGGGTTTCTGTTTTAAAAGCCAGAATTAGGGTGAATTAGTCTACTTGCATTAGTTTAGGCTAGGTTTAGGCAAAGTAACAAGCAAACCCTGCTCTCAGTTATTAGTCCAGTAAAATTTTTGCAGATAAAAATAAGCATTGTATTCCTTGTGACCATTTTGGATTCCAGACTGAAAGACATTTTATTTTTAACACGTGCTTCTACATTCCACTGTGGCACAAAGGGAACCAGGTGAATTGTGACCTGCTTCTTAAAAATTTCACTGAGAGTGATGTATCACTCCAATGCTCATTTCTGTGACAAAAGCAAGTCACATGCTGCATTTGTCAAAAAAGAAGTCACGTGATGCATTCTTCTAACAAATAGAACCAATAGGATGTGTATCTATATAGAAAGAGGTTTATTGTAAGGAATCAGTTCATGCAATTATAGAAAGTGACAAGTCTACATCTGTAGTGAGAGTCAGCAGGCCTGAGACCCAGGAAAGTCAATAGTGTAGTTCCCATCCACAGGCTGGCAGGCAGAGATCCAGGAAAGACCGTGGTGCAGATGCAGTCTGAAGGTAATCTGCTGGAGAATTCCCTGTTGCTTGGGGAGGCCAGTCTTTTTGTTCTAATCAGGCTTTCAACTGATTAGACAAGGCCCACCTACATTATAAAGGACAATCCGCTCACTCAAAATTCACCAATTAAGGGTTAATCTCATCCAGAAACACTCTGCAAGTTGACATAAAATTAATCACATATGTTCCCACCTAACTTCAAAGGGGGTGGAAAAGCTCAATCCACAATTTGCCTAGATTATTGAGAGCTAGAAAAATTTGCTGAATTCCATTTATGTCTACTACATTAACCAATGCAGTCAGGAATAGAAGAACCAAAGATAATATGCCCAGAAAAACTCTTACAGGCCACCTAAAATCAAATTCCAGGATGCTAGATCACACCAAAAAAGTGGGGCTCAAGCCATTAGAATAAAGTGAAAGTGTAAATAGAGAACAATTGAAACCAAATGAAAACAAGATTGGATGTTGATGACTGTCATGCCTCTAAAATATTCCTGACTCATTGCCTAAAAATTAACCTCTCTATAGGTACAAAGTCAAACCTGGTAACAAATCCTTGAGAGTCTCTGCATCACTAACCAACTTTCTATTCCCTTAATTTTTGATATATGTGTATGTCCTTCACTCAATGGATTTATGTAATTGACTATATGATTGTGCATTGCCCACTTTAAAAAACAAACAAAAAAATTCCTTATTATTTCCAGCCTATTTATTGTGCAGTTGCTAAGATTTGACTACAGAGATAACAAATTTGAATCATTTTCTTCTTGGATTGAAGTGCTCCCATAATAACCGTAGGTTTTCCAGATTCAAGTTCCCTAAGACTTGTCCAGTTGGAAGAGTCCTCCGTATCTGGACCCTTGAGGCTTCTTTTCCTGTTTCTGAAACCCATTTGTGTTCAACTCTAAGCCCTAGTGGAAAAACTCTGAAATCCAAAGTCAAAAGACAGGATATGCCAGTTTTTACCTATGAGTTATCCTAGATCTGAGTTTTAGCTTTATCCTACGTAAAATGGGCATAAGATTACTTATCTTACATCGTTTTAATGAAGATAAAATACCAACTTAAAAATATGGCTCAATGTTCATCAGGTAGTATATACTTATGAAATATTTATTTCTGGACCAAACATTTCTCAAACCATTATTTTAAAAGAGATAGTTTGCCGTAGTATTGAAGACCATGGGTTATAGAATTAGACTGCCCTTGTTCAAATCCTACTAAGACCACTGTGTAACCTTTGGCAAAATAACACTCTAAGATACATTTTCCCCATTGGTTAAATTGAGATAATAATAGAAATACCAACTTTACGGTATTTATGTAAGATTAAATGAAATAATCTACCACAAATTAGTTTTATACCCGACAGTGTTCAATACATAATGTCTGTATTATTTTTGTTGTTGTTTTTATTTTTATTTTAAAATAATTGACAAATTGTATATAGTTGTACAATGTGATGATTTGGTATACATACACATGATGTATTGATTATCACAGTCAAATTCACAAATCCATCACCACCCATAGTTATCGTTTTGTGTGTGTGTTGTGTTGTGTGAGGTGGTGAGAACATTTCAAATCTGCTCTTGTAGGCCGGGCGCAGTGGCTCATGCCTGTAATCCCAGCACTTTGGGAGGCCGAGGCGGGCAGATCACGAGGTCAGGAGGTCGAGACCATCCTGGCTAACACAGTGAAACCCCGTCTCTGCTAAAAATACAAAAAATTAGCCGGGCGTGGTGGCGGGCGCCCGTAGTCCCAGCTACTCGGGAGGCTGAGGCAGGAGAATGGCATGAACCCGGGAGGCGGAGGTTGCAGATCGCGCCACTGCACTCCAGCCTGGGCGACAGAGCGAGACTCCGTCTCAAAAAAAAAAAAACCTCTCCTATCAAAGTTTAGTTATTCTTACTATGTGAAATATGTAAAACTGCTTTGTAAGCTATGACATGATGCAAAATGTTAGTTTCAAACATCATTTTTTTTTCAAATTTAGCGTATTGAAAGGAATTGCATTAACACTATCAGGCTTCATAGATTAGTGATAGTTACTGAAGTTAAATTGACCAAATGGTAATTACAAGTCTCTTCCTTCTCTAACAATTAGTATATCATTGATACTCTAATTGAATTCTACACACAGTTGGGATGATATTACTTATCTTACATTGCTTTCATAAAGATAAAATAGCAACTTAAAAATATGGCTTGATGTTCAGCATGTAGTAGATATTTATTAAATGCTTATTTCTGGGCCAAACTTAAAATATCATTGATATACTGATTTTTAGAGAAGAAAGGGACTTGTAGGTCAGTGTTTTCAGATTGTGATTGTTTGATGTTAATTTTTTAGGGACAAGGTCTTGCTTTGTTATTGCCCAGACAGGAGTTATACTGGCATGATCATAGTTCACTGCAGCCTTGAACTCGAGGGCTCAAACAACACTCCTGCCTCAGCTTCCCAAGTAACTAGGACTACTGCACCTGGCTAATTTTTTTTATTTATTGTAGAGATGGAGTCTCACTATATTGCATAGGCTGGTCTCAAACTCCTGACCTCATGTGATCCTCCCTCCTCAGCCACCAAATGCACTGGGATTACAGGCGTGAGCCACCATGCCAGACGCAGTTTGTTTTTGGAAGTGATAATATTTTTGCTTATCCTCAAATGAGCCAAATAGAACCCAATACAAAAATCTTAAATCTGAAATTGTGTGACAGGTTGGTTTTAGAAAAAAATGTTTTAGTTGGTTCTGATTTGAATAGTTTATTTTGTATACTTTCTATCATATTTTTATTCTTATATCTGTTATCTTAAATCACACCTATTTTTAAACATATAAACTTTAGTGCTTGGTTAAATTAAATTAGTTAATATATCTGGGAAATCACTCAATATAATTATTTTAATGTCAAGTTAAAGACTATCTTAAAAAAGAAATCTTTAAGACATATTGAGCCAGCTCTCTGTCTTTTCCTGTTGATCTATCTGTTCCTCCCAGTTATTTTCTCACTCATATACAAATGTCAGCACATATGCTTTCCCTTTTCACAAAAAGCTGGTAATATCAGCAATAATATTAAATGAGCTTAAATATTCTATATATTTTTCTCACATATGAATAAACTCATGTTTGAAGAAATCACATTTTAATCTTAAGTGCTTCTTGTCAATTAAATACAGAACATTTTTGATATTATGCTCTACATGAGAGGTTTGCTAACCTCCTGAAAAGGCTTATAATTCAGGAGGAAAGACAGGCGAGCATACAACTAAGTTTAAAAGAAGTCAGTGCAATATGCACTCCAAATGGTGTTTGACGTGAATTACCATGCATGCGTGGTGGAACGAATGATTAATTCAGGATGGGAGTATCAGAAAATGCGTTCTGGCTTTATCTGCATGGCATGGGTTGGGGGAGCACAGGACCATTTATGTTCTATATTTTTGACTTCCAGCTGGGCTCTAATTAATTTCCAAGGGGCTCTTCCCTTAGATCAGCACTTCCCTTTAAAGAACAAACCCCATCTGCACCTCTCAACCTTTTAATTTTCTTGCACTGATTGCTGAGAAAACTTTGGACCAAATGGTGAGTAAGTTATTCATTTCCCCACATTTCTTGGGCACTGGATGTTTCAATCGACATTTTCAGTACATCAGGGATTTAACCATGGCACAAACCTTTTTTTTTTAAATGGGTATATTTTGTTTGTTTTAAATTCATACTATTTCTCTGACCAGTATTTGATTGTTCCATCAATGTATGGGAAAAGTTTCAATGATATAATTAAATCGACATGTCATACATCATATATATATATCTATATATATGTACATATATATGCAGACATACCTCAAAGATATTGCAGTCTCCGTTCCAAACCACCAGAGTGAAGTGACTATCTCAGGAAAACAAGGCACATGCATATTTTGGTTTCCCAGTGCATAAAAAAGTTATATTTACACTATACTGTACTCAAAGTGTGCAGTAGTATTATGTCTAAGAAGCCAACATACATACTTAAATTTTAAAATACTGTAAAACTGAAAAGTGCTAACAATTATCTGAGTCTTCAGCGAACTGTAATCTTTTTGCTGGTTGAGGGTCTTGCCTTGACGTTGATGGCTGCTGACTCATCAGGGTGGTGGTCGCTGAAGGCCAGGCTGGCTGTGGCAATTTCTTTTCTTTTTTTTTTTTCTTCGGTGGAGGGGGGTGGTGTGGAGGAAGACAAAGCGTTACTCTGTCGCCCAGGCTAGAGTGCAGTGGTGCAATTTCGGCTCACGGCAACCTCTGTCTCCCAGGCTCAGGCAATTCTCCTGCCTCACCTCCTGAGTAGCTGGGATTACAGGTGCCCACCACCATGCCCAGCTTTGTATTTTTAGTAGAGACGGGGATTCACCAAGTTGGCCAGGCTTGTCTCAAACTCCTGACCTTAAGTGATCTGCTCCCCTCAGCCTCCCAAAGTGCTGGGATTACAGGCGTGATCCACTGCACCCGGCTATAATTTCCTAAAATAAGATAACAGTGAAGACAATACATCAATTGACTCTTCCTTTTATGAAAAATTTGTCCATGGCATGTAGTGCTTCTTGATAGTACTTTACGTACAATAAAACTTTCAAAATTGAAGTCAATTCTCTCAGAACCTCTTACTGTTTTATTAACTAAGCGTGTGTACTATTCTAAATCCTTTGTTGTCATTTTAGTAATGATCACAGCATCTTTGCCAAAAGTAGATTCTATCTCAAGAACCCACTTTCTTTGCTCATCCGCTAGAAGTGACTCTTTATTATAATTGTATCATAAGATTGCAGCAATTCTGTCACATCTTTAGGTACCGCTTCTCATTTTAGTTCTCCTGATATTTCCACCACATCTGCATTTGCTTCCTCTACTAAAGTCTTGAATCCCTCAAACTCATCCAGGAGGGTTAAAATCAACTTCTTGCAAACTTCTATTAATTGATATGGTGACTTCCTCTCATGAATCATAAATGTTCTTAATGCCATCTAGAATGATGAGTTTTTTTCATAAAGTGTTCAATTTCTCTTGCTTACATCCATCAGGGGAATCACTACCTACGCAGCTATAGCCTTATAAAGTGTATTTCTTAAATAATACAGCTTGAAACTCAAAATTACTTCTTGATCCGTGGCCTATAGTATTGATGTTATGTCAGTAAGCATAAAAGCAACGCTCATTTCCTTGTAAATCTCCATTAGAGCTCTTGGGTGACTACGTGCATTGTCAATGAGCAGTAATACTTTGAAAGACTTTTATTTATTTATTTATTTACTTTTATTTATTTATTTATTTTCTGAGCTGTAGCTCTCAGTAGTGGGTTTAAAACGTTCAGTAGGGTCAGGTGTGATGGCTCACTCCTATAATCTCAGCACTTTGGGAGGCCGAGGCGGGTAGATCACCTGAGGTCAGGAGTTCGAGACCAGCCTGTCCAACATGGCGAAAGCCCATCTCTACTAAAAATACAAAAATTAGCCGGGCGTGGTGGTGTGCACTTGTAGTCCTGGCTACTCAGGAGGCTAAAATAGGAGAATCGTTTGAACCCAGCAGGTGGAGATTGAAGTGAGCCGAGATCAGGCTGCTGCATTCCAGCCTGGGCAATAGAGTGTGACTCTGTCTCAAAATAAATAAATAAATAAATAAATAAGTTTAGTAAACCATTCTGTACACAAATGTACTGTCATCCAGCCTTTGGTTTTTTTTTTCATTTTAGAGCACAGACAGAGTAGATTTAACATAATTTTTGTTGCCTTAGGATCTTTGGAATGGTAAATAGGCATTGGTTTCAACTTGAAGTCAACAGCTGCATTTGCCCTTAACAAGAGAGTCAGCCTGTCCTTTGAAATTTTGAAGCCAGGCATTGACTTCGCCTTTCTAGCCATGAATGTCTTAGATGCCATCTGCTTTCAAGATAAGGCTGTTTTGTCTACACTGAAAATCTGTTGTTTAGTGTAGCCACCTTCATCAATTATCTCAGCTAGATCTTCTAAATGACTTGCTTTAGCTTCCACAATAGCACTTGCTGCTTCACCTTGCACTGTTATGTTATAAAGATGGCTTCTTTCCTTAAACCTGGTGAACTAAACTCTGCTAGCTTCAAACTTTTCTTCTGCAGTTTTATCAACTTCTGTCAACCTTCATAGAACTGAAAGAAGTTAGAGCATTGATCTGGATTAGGCTTTGGCTTAAGGACATGTGGTTGGTTTGATCTTCTATCTAGACCACAAAAACTTTCTCCACATCAGCAATACTTTCTGTTCTGCTTTTATTTGTATGTTCACAGGAGTAGCACAGTTAATTTCCTTGAAGAGCTTTTCTTTTGCATTCACAACTTGGCTAATTGATGCGAAAGGCCTAGATTTTTCACTATCTTGGCTTTGACATGCATTCCTCACTAAGCTTAATCATTTCTAGCGTTTGATTTAAAATGAGAAACATGCAATCCTTCCTTTGACTTGAATGCTTAGAAGCCATTTAAGATTATTAATGAGCCTAATTTTAATATTGTTATGTTTCAGGGAATAGGGAGGCCTGAGGCAAGGGAGAGAGATGGGGGAATGGATGGTCAGTAGAGCAGTCCGAACACACACAACACATTAATTAAATGTGCGGTCTTATATGGGCACAGTTTGTGGCACCCCAAAACAATGATAATAAGTGACATCAATGATCACTGATCACAGATTACCACAACAATAATATAATATATATGAATATATGTAATATGTAATTTCAATATAATAATAATGAAAACATTTGAAATATTGCAAGCATTACCAGAACATGACAGAAATGTGAAGTGAGAACACACTATTGGAGAAAGTGGTGCTGATACACTTGCTCATTGCAGGGTTGCCCCAAATCTTCAATTTATAAAAAATGAAATATCTGTGAAGCACAATAATACAAATCACAAAAAAATGAGATTTGCCTGTACACACACAATGTTTAAGTGCTGGACACTTTGGTATCAGGCTTATGGGGGAGGCAGAAATGGAAATAATTATATAAGTAAATAATAGGCAGCAGAAACAAAATATAAGTTGAGTTGAGATAATAAAGTGACAATCTGTGGCTATGTTCAGTCAGATTTTTGGTTTTCTCTCCCCCATCCCATCCTACTGCAGACATCAAGAATACTTCAAGATTTCAGGACTATTAGAGTCCATAAACATTCAAACACAGAATGCTCTATCAAGAACCTGTTGTTTAAATCAAAGTTTTCGTGTCCACACTCATATTTTGCAGTTATTAAAAGGACATTTAAGCTCAGTTAACCTTCAATAGACTCTAACTTAGATAGTTATGGTTATGGTTGCAAATATACCAGAGTCTGTTGGATGGCACAGATTTTCCTCCACTCTCCCTAGTCACCTGTACTTCAGACATCTTCTTCTACTAGATTCTCAGAAGACCCTTGGCCTAGATCCCATTTCCTCTTTTTCCTCCTTTTCTGAATCTTCATTTGGGGTCCAGCTTTGTCCCTCTACTTCGTACGTCCACTGGGAAATCCCATCTTATTTCACTGGCATTTAGTTTGAGTGGTGTCAGTGGGAATTCTTCATCATGGAGCACTGAAGACATCCTACTTCACCCTTAAAAGCATTGCTAACCACACACAACGTAAGTTCAATTAATTATTCCGCTCACATGACATCTTTCCAACCACGAGTGAGGATGGAGTGATTCCAAGGGATGGAGACAGAAAACTTCTGTCCATCCTACCATATGTGCACACATTCTATGGGATTGTTAAGCAGCCATGAAAATTATGTTTCCAGGAATATCATGAGAACAAGCTTATATTATAATATTACATTTAAATGCAGAATATAACAAGTGTGTACAAAGTCTAATATAAACATTCTAGAAACACTACTCAAAGGCAAAAAAGGAAGAATATAACAACAAGATTCTAGCAGCAGATTATATTTTTGCTGAAATCATAAGTGTCTTTTTCTGCCTTTTCTCCCTTTCTCTCTCTCTCACACACACATTCAATGTGCACAATGCCTCTATAAGTAATACCATTATTACAGAAGCAGTCTATTAATATATATATTCTTAATTTTATAGAAAAATGCATATACTAATGTTACATTAAGAACATTTACTGTTTCTTTTTAGTATCATTGGATTGACGTGATGATACTATCGCTTTAAAAGTCAGTTATTTTAATGTGCACAAAACATATGTACAGTATGATTGTTTTTCTTAGTGGTAATTACAAAAGGAAGTCAACTAAATAATATGCATTGTATAAAAAGAGATTGCTGAAAGGGTCAAAATATCAACCTGGCATTACCAATAGAGCAATGATTAATTATTTCTACTGCTGAGGGTAAAATAAATACATCGATGTAGAAAGGAAGGAGAATGATAATTTGAAGAGTGATTTAAAGTATGATCCAGGTAGTAGAAGATGGGAATTCTTTCTCTTTTGTTTTTTAAATTCTTTTCCCTCCAGTGGCATAAAACTCCAAACCAGAAAGTCTTAGCATCCTCTTTGTAAAAGTCTGAAGAAATATATATATATACATATATATATTTGTATATACATACATGTGTGCTTTCCAAGTTTTTATTTACACGATGCTTTTCTTTCCCTTGATAATAAGTGTTTAGAACAACTAAATTATGACTTTGGCTCCCCATCAGATTCTGTTGAGTCACAGAAGATAAATTGGGGGAACAATACTAAAGTTAAGGCTCATAATTCAGTTGTCCGAAGTACATCTTGCAGAAGCAGTTTGTAGAAGCAACAAAAAAAATTGGGGAAAACTGCCAGAAATGCTCCTTCTTCCACTTTGTTTTGGTTCTGGGAAAGAGTTTTGCCCAGTAGATGTGTTTTACATTTGTTGAATTTATTGCTTTTTGAGCCAAATGTAAAAACTGTCTGGGTTTCTCGATTTGATGGTTTATTATCTATAGAAAAATTCATGTTTCTTAAAAAGAGTTGAAAAATGCTTTCATGCAGTAGGATAGCATTTCTGACTCAGAATCTGTACAGAGAACCCTGACTACTCTTCAGTATATCTCGTTCACCCATAAAAGCTTACATTTGTGCAACTCCATGCATTGAATATATTTTATATGCAGGATAAAATTATATGTTTAATGTATGTTTTAGTGACCATAAACTTCATCTGGCAGGAATTACATCTTTTGTGTGCATTTTTGCATCACAAATGTTAAGCAGAGTCGCTAGCACATGGTCTAAGCACACAACCAATAACCAATAAATATCTGAGTATTAGCTACAATACTCAGTAAATAGTATTTATTCAATTCTTACTATGTACCAGGCACTGTGACTGACATATAACCATAACAATAGCCAAATCAACAAATTGCATTTATCAAACTATTAATATATACTGAGAATTATGTCAGGTACTTTATATTCATTTTCTCATTTAATTTTCAAAATGAGTTTAAAAGGTTGGAACCATCAATTTTTACATTTTATAGATAAAGATGTTGAGGTTAAGACAGGTTAAATAACTTTTCTAATCTCAGGGCTATTAAGTAGCAGAACTAGAATCTTACACAATATTTTCTGTATATACATTTTCTCATTGGGTACTTACAATGAACATATGAGATGGAGATTATCACACTTGTTTTTCAAGAGATAAAGCTGAACCTCACATAATCAAAGGACTCTGAATAATTTCTCTTATTTAATGAAAGAGGTAGAAAAAAATTTCACCAATTTCTGATTACCTCCAAATCTAATGTTTCTCACCAGAAAAGTAGATTCTTTGGAGGTTTTAAGGAGGATTTAGAGATCAAACCTGCACTCAA
The DNA here is from genome assembly GCF_000001405.40 of Homo sapiens. Taxonomy (NCBI): domain Eukaryota; kingdom Metazoa; phylum Chordata; class Mammalia; order Primates; family Hominidae; genus Homo; species Homo sapiens. The sequence continues at coordinate 64,073,857 of NC_000016.10, read as the reverse complement.
GAAGCTTAGAACTTGCAGAAGCGGTTCTGCTCTGACATGTCAGATGTCAGACAGCAACATGTGATGGGACTTTTGGGAAAGGAGGCTGAATCATGAACAGCTTCACAGAAGAGGGAAGCATTTGAATTTTCCTTGAAGCACAGGTGGATCTGAGCATGAAAGGGTGGGAATAGCAATGAACCCGCCACAGACCCAAAGGTTGGGTTGATGTTTTGTAAAGGCTAAGTTTTTTACCAAAAAAAAAAAAAAAAAAAAAAAAATCATATAAATATTAACATACAATTTACAACAAATCAAAGTTCTATTTTGCAAACAACTTAAAAAGATGAAAAAAAAACTGATTGGGAAATGATTAATTAAGCATTTACTCTGTGGAGGGCCCTATAACAGGAACACAGGGAGGAACTGGGGGGAGATAGAGTAGCATAGAAAGCTAGCATTGTTGCTGACCTAGAGGGAACTAATGAGACTCGGATCAGTTAGAGAGCTTTTGGTTACAATAAAATAAAAAGCTAAGTGGCTTATACAAGAATTGAATTTACAACTGGCCTCATTAGAGCCGAGCTGTAGTTAATTGAGCTATATGTTAATGTGCTAGGCAGAAAACAATGTTGGAAGAGAAATGAAAAAGTGCTCCATCTTCCAACTTGCACTATAGCGGATATATAGAGTGCCAGATGATGACATTTATAAATGGAATGGGTCATTATGGAGACACAACTGAAGTATCAATAAAGATTGGATTTACATAAACACAAGTTTATCTACAAATATCTTCTCTAAACAAAGGTGGAGAAAGGAACTGGCATTGAGTTTGGACAAAGCAAGGGGTTGAGAATTGGGAGACTGAAGATTCAGTCCTGCTAAGAATATTTTCACTTCCTCCTCCCTATTTCTGAAGTTCACTTCTCCCAGAATTTTGCAAGCCTGACTCCTTTCTCAACCTTTACTTATACTTCAGGTGTTGAGAGTTGACAGCGTGCTGGCAGTCCTCACAGCCCTCGCTCGCTCTGGGCGCCTCCTCTGCCTGGGCTCCCACTTTGGCGGCACTTGAGGTGCCCTTCAGCCCACCGCTGCACTGTGGGAGCCCCTTTCTGGGCTGGCCAAGGCCGGAGCCGGCTCCCTCAGCTTGCAGGGAGGTGTGGAGGGAGAGGCGCGAGCGGGAACCGGGGCTGCGTGCGGCGCTTGCGGGCCAGGTGGAGTTCGGGTGGGCGTGGGCTTGGCGGGCCCGGCACTCGGAGCAGCCGGCCAGCCCTGCCGGCCCCGGGCAATGAGAGGCTTAGCACCCGGGCCAGCGGCTGCGGAGGGTGTACTAGGGCCCCCAGCAGTGCCAGCCCACTGGCGCTGCGCTTGATTTCTCGCTGGGCCTTAGCTGCCTTCCCGTGGGGCAGGGCTCAGGACCTGCAGCCCGCCATGCCTGAGCCTCCCACACCCTCCGTGGGCTCCTGTGTGGCCCAAGCCTCCTTGACGAGCGCCACCCCCTGCTCCACAGCGCCCAGTCCCATCAACCACCCAAGGGCAGAGGAGTGCGGGCGCAGGGCGCAGGACTGGCAGGCAGCTCCATCTGCAGCCCTGGTGCGGGATCCACTGGGTGAAGCCGGCTGGGTTCCTGAGTCTGGTGGGGAGGTGGAGAACCTTTATGTCTAGCTCAGGGATTGTAAATACACCAATCGGCACTCTGTGACTAGCTCAAGGTTTATAAACACACCAATCAGCACCCTGTGTCTGGCTCAGGGTTTGTGAATGCACCAATCCACACTCTGTATCTAGCTACTCTGGTGAGGCCTTGGAGAACCTTTATGTCTAGCTCAGGGATTGTAAATACACCAATCGGCACTCTGTATCTAGCTCAAGGTTTGTAAACACACCAATCAGCACCCTGTGTCTAGCTCAGGGTTTGTGAATGCACCAATCGATACTCTGTATCTAGCTATTCTGGTGGGTTCTTGGAGAACCTTTGTGTCCACACTCTATATCTAGCTAATCTGGTGGGGAGGAGGAGAACCTTTGTGTCTAGCTCAGGGATTGTAAACACACCAATCAGCGCCCTGTCAAAACAGACCACTTGGCTCTACCAATCAGCAGGATGTGGGTGGGGCCAGATAAGAGAATAAAAGCAGGCTGCCCCAGCCAGCAGTGGCAACCCGCTCGGGTCCTCTTCCACACTGTGGAAGCTTTGTTCTTTTGGTCTTTGCAATAAATCTTGCCACTGTGCACTCTTTGTGTCCACACTGCTTTTATGAGCTGTAACACTCACCACGAAGGTCTGCAGCTTCACTCCTGAAGCCAGCGAGACCACGAACCCACCAGAAGGAAGAAACTCCAGACGCGCCACCTTAAGAGCTGTAACACTCACCGCGAGGGTCCGTGGCTTCATTCTTGAAGTCAGTGAGACCAAGAACCCATCAATTCCAGACACAGTGTCATTTCTCAGATAGCATCTCCTAAGAGATTTAAAGTAACTATTTTCTCATCGTCTCAATCTCACCACTGTGTTGATTTTATCTCAATCTCTGAAAATTTAATGTATTTACTTGTTTACATCTTCATTATCTTTCAATGCACTAGAGTCAAAGCTCCATGAGACCAGGATTTTTTTTCTGTCTTGATCACCAGTGGTTCCCTGGTGTTATAAAGTAATACCTGGCACCTAGTAAATGTTAACTAAATACATAGAATGGCAAAACAGTGGCTTTACTCCTTATTAACTGTGTGACTTTAAAAAAGCCATTTGGTGGTTTTAATGAAGATAAACCTAGCAAGACTGTGCTGTTACAAAGATTGAAAGTGTCAAATCCCCTAGAGGCCCTTCAAAAACTTAGTGGGATATTAGAACATGAGTTTGCCTAAAAGAACAGTCTAGGGAGGATAAAACTAAATGCACAAAAGGTAATACTGACTGCCTCTCTTTAATAAGTTAGTGAGATTTTGTGTCTTTGGCCAATTATGAAGTGATCTGGTTCCACATAAATTTTAAAATAGTTCTTTTTCTAGTTCTGTGAAGAACGCTATTGATAATTTGATAGGAATAGCATTGAAACTGTGAATTGCTTGGCGCAGCATGGCCATTTTAAATATGTTGAATTCATTCCATCCATGAGCATGGAATGTTTTTTCATTTGTTTGTGTCATCTCTGAATTCTTTGAGCAGTGTTTTGTAGGTCTTCTTGTAGAGATCTTTCACTGCCCTGGTTAGTTGTATTCCTAGGTATTTTATTCTTCGGGGGCACTTGTAAGTGGGATTGATTTCCTGATTTGGCTCTCCACTTGACTGTTGTTGGTGTACCAACAAAGAGCCCGAATAGTCAAGGGAATCCTAAGCAAAAAGAACAAAGCTAGATGCATTACATTATCCAACTTCAAACTATAGTACAGGGCTATAGTAACCAAAACACCACAGTACCCGTACAAAAACAGACACATAGACCAACAGAACAGAATGGAGAGCACAAAAATAAGGCCACACTCTGACAACTACCTGATCTTTGACAAAGTCAACAAAAACAAGCAATGGAGAAAGGTCTCCCTATTTAGTAAATGGTGCTGGGATGACTGACTAGCCATGTACAGAAGATTGAAACTAGAACCCTTCCTTACATCACATATAAAAATCAACTCAACATGGATTAAAGATTTAAATGTACAACCCAAAACTGAAAAAACCCTGGAAGACAACCTAGGCAATACAATTCTGGACATAGGAATGAGCAAAGATTTCATGACCAAGATGCCAAAAGCAATGGAAACAAGCAAAGATTGACAAATGGGATCTAGTTAAACTGAAGAGCTTCGGCACAGCAAAAGAAAGTATCAGCAGAGTAAACAGACAACCTATAGAATGGGAGAAAATGTTTGCAGACTATGCATCTGACAAAGATCTAATATCCAGCATCTATAAGGAACTTAAACAAATTTACAACCAAAAATCAACCCCATTACGAAGTGTGAAAAGCACATAAATGGCACCTTCAAAAGAAGGCCTACATGTGGCCAACAAGCACATAGAAAATAGCTCAGTATCACTGATCATTAGAGAAACACAAACCAAAACCACCGTGATATATCATCTCACACCAGTCCGAATGGCCATCACTAAAAAGTCAAAAAATAACAGGGGCGGATGAGGCTGCAGAGAAAAATATATGCTGATAAACTGTTGGTGGGAATGTAAATTAGTTCAACTATTATAGAAAACAGTGCAGTTATTCCTCAAAGACTGAAAACCAAACTACCATTTGACCCAGCAACCCCATTATAGGGTATATACCCACAGGAATATAAATCATTCTATCATAAAGACACATGCACACATGTATTCATTGCAGAACTTTTCACAATAGCAAAGACATGGAATTAACTAAATGTCCATCAATGACAGACTCTATGAAGAAAATGTGGTACATATACACTGTGGAATACTATGCAGCCATAAAAAAAACTCATGTCATTTGCAGTAGCATGGATAGAGCTTGAGGCCGTTATCAATAGCAAACTAACACAACAAGAGAATTCAAATAGGGTATGTTCTCACTTATAAGTTGGAGCTTACTGAGAAGAACACATGGACATATAGAGGGGAACGAGACATTGGGACTTACTGGAGGGTGGAGGGTGGGAGGATAAACAGGATCAGAAAAAATAACTAATGTGGGTACTAGGCTTAATACCTGGGTGACAAAATAATCTGTACAACAAACTCCCTTAACGTGAATTTACCTGTATATCACACTTGCACCTGTACCCCTAAACTTAAAATTTTAAAAAGATCTATTTTTTAAAAAGATATTGTGATTCCACAAATACAAATGTAAGGGTGTAGATTTTAACAACTATTGGTGGCTGCGTTTAATGCATTGATGTTTTCTTACATTCCATTGGTCAGGCCATATTTAAATGCCAACAGAGAGAAATTGTGTTTATGTGTGTGTGTGTTCTTTATTTTCCTATTCACAACTGTCACAATAGTCAATAGCTAATCTCCAAAATTAAAATGCCCAAAACATAGTGTGGAGTCAGCATAGGGCAAGTCCTATTGGTTGACAATGAGATTTAGCTATTGCAGGGGCATACAAGCTAGATACTGATATAAGAAATAAATGTTTGGCCAGGCGCTGTGTCTCACTCCTGTAATCCAATCACTTTGGGAGGCCAAGGCGGGCGGATCACTTGAGGTCAGGAATTTGAGACCAGCCTGGCCAACATGGAAAAACCCTCTCTCTACTAAAAATACAAAAAAAATTAGCCAGTCGTGGTGGTGGGCTCCTGTAATCCCAGCTACTCGGGAGGCTCAGGCAAGAGAAACGTTTGAACCCAGGAGGCAGAGATTGCAGTGAGCCAAGATCGCACTCACACCACTGCACTCCAGCCCTCCAGCCTGGGTGACAGAGCGAGACTCTGTCTCACAAAAAAAAAAAAAAAGAAATGTTTGAAACAACAGTGCATATTGCCTCTTCTACAATAACCGCATATTCTGAAATAATAAAGATTAGATTGTATAATATTGGAAAAAGAAGGAAATAGACTATTATCAGAAATGTTTCATATACATCATCTCTAGTGAGCTTAAAAATGAGCCTGGGAAGACAGAGGCAAATACTGGAGAGCAAGAACACATCTCAGTCAAGATACTAGGGAAATTACCCAGAGGTTGACTTTCTGAAGACTGGATGAGAGACGGCAAGTTCCAGGCTGGGAAAATGTGAGAGACAGCTTTTATGGGAAATGCAGGGGTTTAAAATTCCAGGAACAAAAGGATGAAAGAAGTAAATTACAGTTTCTTGAAACAGGCACTCTGCAAACATGTATATTATATTTTGTTTATCTTCAGGAAAACTTGCACTGACGGTATTATTTGTAGGAGTTTACAGAAGAGCAAACTGTGGCTTACAGAGTTCTACTGGCTTGCCCAAGGTCACACTGACAATATGTGTCAGAGCCGCTTTTGAATCTTAAGAAGATATAAGGAGTTCAGAATACTTGTGTAAAAACAGATCTTTTTTACATTAATATCACTTCTGTAGAATCATACCACTACATTTCATTTAAAACTTTGCCTGTCTAAATGTGCAGCAAACTGAGGCTGATGTCCAAAATTGTTATAGTACTGCCATAAATTTGCAACTAGTCCACTTTGAAAGGAGAGTGTAAAACATTTACCATGACTATTCCATGTGACAGCCTGTTTCACAGGGGAGGCTCAATAAAAACACATTGAAAACCCTACCTTATGCAATGAATATCCCAGAAGTAGCTATAGGTACGGTGCAAATTTCTTCCTACTTGTATAGATCTATTTTTTTTTTTTTTTTGAGACAGGGTCTCCCACTGTCACCCAGGCTGGAGTGCAGTGGTGCAATCACTGCTCACTGCAGCCTTGACCTCTGTGGGCTCAGGTGATCCTCCCACCTCAGCCTCCTGAGTAGCTGGGACTATAGGCACGTACCACCATGCCCAGATAATTTGGATATTTTTGGTACAGTCAGGGTTTCACCATATTGCTCAGGCTTGTCTCAAACTCCTGGGCTCAAATGATCCACCCACTTTGGCGTCCAAAAGTGCTGGGATTACAAGTGTGAGCTGTTGCACCTGGCCTGCATCTAGATTTTAAATTTTTTCAAAGGGACTTCAATAAAACATAAATTCATTAGAAAAAGTACACAACTAGGTACACTGAAATTGCTTTTAAAATAAATACTAAACTTTTTGAAACTTTGAAGAATTGATTAAATTAATAATTATTTTTAAAAAACTGAAAATAAGAGGATGAATAAGAACAGAAAAAGCCACTAAAGTTTTTTCAATATTTTTTATGCCTTACAATTAATAATGTCTGAGTTTGCTTAATACTTTTTTTTCTTTCTTTCTTTTTTTTTTTTAGATGGAGTCTCACTCTGTCGCCAGGCTGGAGTGCAGTGGCCCAATCTTGGCTCACTGCAAGCTCCGCCTCTGGGGTTCAAGTGATTCTCCTGCCTCAGCCTCCCAAGTAGATGGGATTACAGGCATGTGCCACCACACCCAGCTAATTTTTATATTTTTAGTAGAGACGGGGTTTCACCATGTTGGCCAGGATGGTCTCAATCTCTTGACCTCATGATCCGCCCACCTCGGCCTGCCGCTTAATACTTTTATAAAGCCTTATGTAGCATTGTTTGTTGATGTTTATTTAGTATATCCATAGTTGTATTTCTGGACCAGGCATTGTGCTAGATACTAAGAATTGAGAGATGCAGATGAAAGTCTCAACCCTCTCATAGAGATCATGGTAAGTAAAACAATTAAATAAATAATTCTAATTTAAGATATTAAATTCTACAGTGAAATTGGTAAAAGGATGATCACTTTTGACCAGTGGCTTTTCAGAACACATGCATGCAAAGTTTTTAGGGGTGGATGTGTCAAAAGTGGTAACGCAGATGTCACAGCCTTTGCCAAAGCAAATTATGGTAGGTCATGTATGGAAAGACCTGATCATAAACAGGCCTAAATCCAAACCTCAAGACCCAATCAGACAGAATTCCATGGGATTGAATGTTGACCCATCTGCGAAGGGGAGTGACAAAAAACAAGATTGAGAAATCATTTCACTTCCAACATTGAAGGGTCATGGATGTCATGCCAAGGAATTGGAACCATCATCTCATTTTCAATTAGACCCAAAGAGTCAGTCCCTTTTAGAATTAGGCGGAATAATCTAAAGTACTTTCATGGATCTAGGGAAAACAGGCAGAAGTATATGTAATACAGGATTTAATATTTCAGTCAGGAGAAAATAACATGACAGAGTTAAGCAGTGTGTGGTTGAATGGAAAGTATTAGCAATGATTGTATATCAGTCTGAATTCTTAGACTTGTAAGACAGCAGATATAGATGAATCTGATTTTTATCGCCTATGACAGTTTGAAACAAGGAAGTACGCCTTTTTGAAATTTTTAACATTGTTCAGTACTTGCAGTCATGGTATCAGTGGTTTGCAAGCAACTCTTGCTTACCCATGTTTTAGGGTTCAAGGGGTCACTCATTGTCTACAGCCTAGGAAAAATCTTAAGTTTCTGGAATATTCCCCTTGTATGTATCAGTTTCCATTAATGGTGCCAAAGACGTTGAAAGAGACAAATAAGCATATACTCAATGCACCTTTTCTTTCTTCTTTCTTCTGTTGTTCTTTTTACTGATTTACCTCACCAACTCTCCATTCCTCCCTCCATCCCCCCCTCCATTCCCCCCTCCCTCCCTCCCTCCATCCCTCCCTCCATCCCTCCCTTATTTTCTTCCTTCAAAAACCTTTTGAGAACCTACCATGTAACTAACATGGCTTATAACAGGGACTAAAGCCAAGGCTCTCTCCTCAATGAGTTTACATCCTGGAAAAGATGTGACAGAGTACAAGAGATAAAAAGCATAATTCAACAAATGGATGGTGTGTTATGCATGGAAACTATTTACTTCATGGTCTTTTCCAACATAGGATGACAAAATGTTTTTTATTTGCCCTAGACTTTTCTAGTTTTAGCATTGGAAGTTCCATATCCCAGGAGTGCTCTCAGTCCCAGGTAAACCTGGACAATGGGTCACCCTACAAGTTCCATGAGCATGTCACATTATGAATATTGAGCACCAGCTGTAAATAAAGTGGAGACCCTAAGAAAATACTCCCATGCTCAACATCATTGATCATTAGAGAAATACCAATTAAAATTACAACATGATATCATCTCACCCCAGTTAATTAAAATAGCTTTCATTCAAATGACAGGAAATGACGAATTCTGGTGAGAATGTGGAGAAAAAGGAAACCTTGTACACTGTTGGTGGGAATGTAAGTTAGTGCAGTCACTATAGAGAACAGCATGGAAGTTCTTTGAAAAAGTAAAAATAGAGTTACCATATGATTCAGCAATCCCACTGCTAAGTATATATCCCCTCCCAAAAAAAGAAATCAGTATATCAAAGAGATATCTGTACTCCCATGTTTACTGTGGCACTATTCACAATAGCCAACATTTGGAACCAACCTAAGTGTCCATCAATAGATTATGGGATAAAGCAAAAGTGGTACTTATACATAATGGAGTACCACTCAGTCATAAAACGAATGAGATTCTGTTTTTCGCAACAGCATGGGTGGAACTGGAGAACATTTTGTTAAGTGAAGTAGGTCAAGCATTTGAAGTCAAACTTCAAATGTTCTCACACGTTTGTGGGAGCTAAAAGTTAAAACTCATGGAGATAGAAAGTAGAAAGATGGTTAATAGAGGTTGAGAAGGATAGTGAGGGGTTGGGGGAGGGAGTTGGGATGGTTAATGGGTACAAAATATAGTTAGATAGAATTAATGTAATCTGGTGTTTGATAGCACAACAGGATGATTACAGGTAAAAATAATGTATTGTACATTTAAAAATAACTAAAATAATGTAATTAAAATACCTGTAAGACAAGTGATAAATGGTAAATGCTTAAGGTGATGGATACCCCATTTACCCTGATGTGATTATTATTCATTGTATGCCTGTATCAAAATATCTCATGTACCTCATAAATATATACACCTACTATGTACCCACAAAAATTAAAAGTTAAGAATTTAAAACAAAAAGAACATTCCCAACTTAGTCTTAAACTGCATTTACTCAAAATACTCTTCTGTCCAGGCTAGGGACAGAAAACAGGGAGAGGTTTGCCAGGTCTTTATTTATGTGAAAGATTTAAAACCCTGTTGGGAAATAAAGTTTCTGGAGGTCAAACATAATTTAGCCCTAATGTTTGGTTCAAGAGTAATAGGGCATGGGTAAATGTGTGAGCTCCTAAGAGGGTCAGCTAAGACTGACCTATAGTTTTAACCCTGTACTTCTTGGGAAGAATACCACCATGACTACTTGAGGTAGCATAGCTGAGAACAGCTCTGGAGAAAATGTAATTTGGTAAAATAGAAAGAAGGGGCAAAGTAAACCTAAATTCTCTAAAGCTATTGAACAAAGGTACATAAAAATATATACACCTTATAATATTATTTGCTACTGTGCTGATATATTCCAGAAAGTAGTGGTTAGAATAATCTTTACTGAACAATAAACAGAATCGATTTACTTATTTAATTTTTTAATACAGCATTAAAAAATCATCTGTGATACAGAACTGAAGGATATCCACATGTGTTGAGGATTTACTAAATGGTAAGCCTTGTGCCAGATATTTTGCAAAATTAATCATCTAAATCCTTTCAAAAGACACAATAAAGAAGGTATTGTTGTCCTCCATTTTACAGATCAGGAGACTGAATATTAAGGACACTGGCTGACTTGGCCAAAAGTCACAAAACAAATTAACGCCTCTACATAATGTCAGTAGAAAACCTGGATAAAAATGATGTTATGAAAACTGCTATGGAAGACGACCAAATACTCAAAGCACTGAAAAAAGGGTGGTTAATTTTGCATGCAGTTGTCCAGGAAGGCTTAATTATGCATCATCAGAATGCACTTTAGGGAATGCTGCCTTTGGGTTTCACTTTATTATAGCTGAGGGTAATCATTGATGAAAATAAGAATGATCTTGAGTCAACAAAAATAATAAGCATTTTTTATGAATGCAAAGGCTTTAGGATGATTTTATGTACAAATTTTGTGTAAAATCTTAAAAATGCTAACCTCATTACAGTTACTAGAGATGCAAATCAATCTGAAAGTTTTCCTTTCACCTGCTGAATTTTGGAATTTTCTCGTGAACGCAACCAAAAAAAATAAGAAGAAATCAAAAAGGAGAAAGTTCCAATCAGAAGGGAGAAATATACTTAATACTCAACTCTCCTTAGGAAAGTTATCATCTGAATGGTGAAATCAGTCTTTCAATCTTTCTTTTTTTTTTTTTTTTTTTTTGAGAAGGAATCTTGCTCTGTCATCCAAGCTGGAGTGCAGTAGTGCGATCTCAGCTCACTGCAACCTCCGCCTCCAGGGTTCAATTGATTCTCCTGCCTCAGCCTCCCGAGTAGCTGGGATTACAGGGGTGTGCCACCATACCCGGTTAACATTTTTATTTTTCACAGAGACGGGGTTTCAACATGTTGGCCAGGCTGGTCTCAAACTCCTGACCTCAAGTGATCTGCCCGCCTTGGCCTCCCAAAGTGCTGGGATTACAAGCGTGAGCCACTGAGCCCTGCCATGAAGCCAGTCTTGAGCTAGCTGCAATAACACTTGGGATTTGCTCCTGACTTTGTCACACACTAGCTTTGGTCAGTTCCATTAACCACTGTGGATTTCCTGGTATAGATCATTACATACATCAATACCGGTCCCCATTTCATTACTCAGATGAAATGAGGAAAGACTAAATGAGAAAAAAATATGTAAAATATGTTCGAAAAGTAAGTTTATAGTGTCAGATGGCAAATAAAACAATTACTTTATATTATTTAAATAATAGGAATAGATATTTAGTAAGATAAAATTAGTATGTTAATTTTTGTATTTAGAAACTCATTAAAATTCGATAAAATATCTTAACATTACTATAACTTAATATTATTAACATTCTTTCTTTAGCATTAGAAGCCAAGATCGTCCATGGTCTGTCTTTGGAATTAAAGAAATAAAACTGGGCATTTCTATCCCCCTAAAAAGCCACTACTGATAAATAAACAAATATTAATCATAACTTAAGTATATGTAAATTGCATACATATAAAGCATGTGTCATATGCCAGGAGCAGGACTTTGTTCTTTGCATAGTTATCTCACTTGATGTTGCAAAAGATATATGACAACTTTAGTGTTGCTTCTACTTTATAAGAATGGAAACTGGACTCAGAGGACTAAAGGGACATGCCTGAGATTATATCAAATATAGTCAATGGAGCTGAGCTTAAAGGAAGTCTATCAGAGGCCCCACAATAGCAATTGCCCACCACACAAAAGTATCTTCCCAGGTTATTGCTCAGAAAAGGTGTGAGAACTAGATGAGGAAACACAGGCTGCATACTTTGTATTCTCTGAAGCAGTGATCTTGACCTTAAATGCCTACCATGGCAAGCATGTGGCAGTGGTGTGTGGATCAGGCTTGTGGTAAGGCCCTATGGAGAAGAATGTGAGTGAAGCTCACTGGAAACAGCCTGCAACTGTTCATAGGCTTATTTGGTCTTGCTTTTATTTTTGATGTTGGCTCAGTTTGATTCACTTTCATCTTTGTCAAACAGATATGCGTATTATTTCTGGAGCTGGAATAGGCAAGGGCTTTCTGGTCAACTTCATGTGGCTTTTGCTTAAAAACAGTGTAATCAGCTGGGCTCGGTGGCTCAAGCCTGCAATCCCAGCACTTTGGGAGGCCAAGGTGGGCAGATCACCTAAGGTCAGGAGTTCAAGACCAGTCTGGCCAACATGGTGAAACCCTGTCTCTACTAAAAATACAAAAATTAGTCAGGTGTGCTGGCAGGCATCTGTAATCCCAGCTACTTGGGAGGCTGAGGCAGGAGAACCACTTGAACCTGGGAGGTGGAGGTTGCAGGGAGCCAAGATTGCACCATTGCACTACAGCCTGGGTGACAGAGCAAGACTCCATCTCAGAAAAAAAAGAAAAAAAAAGCAGTGTAATCTAGACTATTTTGCATCTGATATTTCACACTTGATTAAAATGCTTTGCACCAAGAAACACTTACACTCGTCAGCTCCATCCCCCATTATCTAGTATAGTTCTATGTAGAACTACGCTATAGACTTATGTTGGTTATTTTTATAACTGCAATGCTAAAAATTAAGGGTAAAGAATGAAAACAAAACTTTTTAATTCTCTCTCCTCTAAAAATGCTCTTGCCTTGAGGATAATCTGAAGAATCTAGAAGCTACCACATGCCCACTGCCACCTCAAATGGAAGTCAAATCTTCAAAGCATACCCAATATTTAAACTTTGGCAGAAATAGTAAACTAATTATCTTCAGAAGCAGCATTGTGCATGTTTATTTTGTGATTTAATAAAAAAGCTGACATAGCAGCCATTAGCTTCCCAGAGTGCGTTCCGTTTAATATGCAAAACACACAGAAATTAACGTAGTAATTATGTTAGAACTAACAGGATACAAACATTTTAAATGGATTTAACACATTAAATAATTCCATGTCTTATGTGGCCCTGGTGTCTTTCACAGATGGTCACAACATTTGCTGATTTGTTCTACAGGTAGTGAAAATTAATGTGATTTTCTTTGACTCTTATTCTTTTTTAATGTGGACAGATAGCTTTATTTTTAACTTAAAATCATTGCTACCCTGCTTAATGTATTTTGAGTTCGTTTAATAAAGATCTATGTTTTTTTCAAAATGATAGCTTTCTTTGCAACCAAGTTTGAATGTTGGTGAAGACAAAGTTACTGAAAATATGTCCATTTGATATCTCAGCACAGATGTTAATGTCGCTAATATTACTCCACTAGAAACCATTTATTCCTTTGCATAGCAACCATTTCTGAGACACCAGCTATTCTCTACTAGCTGCTGCTGGTACAAGGATTGTGTCTTCAATATCTTTACAGTCCATAGGTACTGCTATAATAAGACTTGCAAAAATAAATATTTTTTCCCTTAATACCATCTAAGCAGTATAAATAATTTTCCGTAGTAATTTAAGGAAATCAAATATAATTATTACCAGTTAAGTAGTAACAGATTTTAATAAAAGGAACAAGAGCCTTTTGGAGAAATGCCTGATTCTAGGCCTATGCAGGAAATATAAAGGATTGACCTAAAACATTTATTTATACAAAATATTAAGGAAGTACTCAAAGACTAGCATAGTCATATCAAAACTAAAGAATTCAGTAGTCAAACTGAAGAGGTCATATTTGCCAAAGATAAGTAGATCATCTACAGGAATACTAATTACAATGGATTTAACTTTATGTAATATGATTTTATCAAAAATTCACCATTATGTAGACAAAACAAAAATTATCAGTTTTAGGTATCCTTGGAGAAGGCTAGGACTTACGCTTTTGTAAACTGGTAAATGGAAAAAACATCAAGCATTATTCTGCCTTTATTATACCAACTTTATCTCAGACTAACCAAATAATAAGAAAAACTTTCGCTTAATAGAAATATCTCAGTCAGAAACAAATTTAAAAAGAAAACAAACAAATACAAAAGAATTGGTAGAAGTAGAAAGTCACCATTCTGCAACCTGCAATGATTTTATAGATATGGAAAATGTTCATTGAAGGCTGCCACCATCAATAAAAGAGAGAACTGACAAAAGAAGACAACATCTCCTAGGAATTAGTCTAGAAATAATATGGGTTGGTGCATAATTAATTGTAGTTTTTGCCATTAATTAATTTTGCACCAACCTAATAATAGTAAATAAAACAGAACGACAAAACAATAAAAGCTTTGGCCTAGATCAGTGTTCTCAACCAGGTGCAATTTTGTCTCCAGGAGACATTTGGCAATATCTGGAGACATTTTTTCATTGTCACAAATGGGGAGGTACTAATGTCATCTAGTGGGTAGAGGCCAGGGATGCTTCTAAACATCTTACACAGCACAAGAAGGCCCCCCACAACCAAGAGTTATCAGAATAACTTAACTTTTTAAAATGTCAACAGTACTGAGATTGAGAAACCCTGACTCAGACCTATCAGTTTGCAGAAAATACAGGATACAAATGGTCATGTTAAATAATACACTGTGGGTGTAATGAGCAAAATGTGAACTGAGGGAAACTGCAGGGCAAATGATCTGGTTCTTCAGCAAATAAATTATAAGAAGAGAAAAAAAGAGAGAGGAGGTATCATTTTGTAACTTTAAGGTTTAATGACTCCCCTATTGGATTTCAGATTTGCATTCGGCCTGTAGCCCCTTTGTTTTGGCCAATTTTTCCCATTTGGAACAGGTTTATTTACCCAATGCCTATACCTCTGTATCTGGGAAGTAACTAACTTGCTTTCAATTTTACAGGCTCATAGGTGGAAAAGACTTGCCTTGCCTCAGATGGGACTTTGGACTTGAACTTTTGGGTTAATGCCGGAATGAGCAAAGACTGTGGGGACTGTTGGAAAGGCATGATTGTGTTTTGAAATGTGAGGACATGAGATTTGGGAGGGACCAGGAATGGAATAATATGATTTGGCTGTGTCCCCACACGAATCTCATCTTGAATTGTAGTTCCCATAATCCCCACCACTATGCCATGATAATGTCATGGGAGAGACCTGGCGGGAGATAATTGAAACATGGAGGCGGTTACCCCCATGATGTTCTCGTGATAGTGAGTTCTCATGAGATCTGATGGTTTTATAAGTGGCATTTCCCCCTTTGCTCAGCATTTTTCCTTCCTATTGCCCTGAGAAGAAGGTACATTTCTTCCCCTTGACCTTCTGCCACGATTGTACGTTTCCTGAGGCTTTCCCAGCCATGCGAAAGTATGAGTCAATTAAACCTCTTTTCCTTATAAATTACTCAGTCTTGGGTATCTCTTCATAGCAGCATGAAAATGGACTAATACAGGCAGAGAGTGAGGGACAGAGACAATCTATAGACTAATAAGGTTTTTGAGACATCACTAGAACATGATCTATGACTGTTTTATGAATTCTGACGCATAAAACCACACTGTAAGAGATAACAATATTAATGGAGTAACTGGGTACTTTGGATGCTGGCTAGATAGTTGATAATGTTAACAAATTATTATTTAATATGTGATAATGATTTTCTGAATGTTTAAAGATATATAAACCCTATGTTTCAGAGATGACGCTGAAACACTTAAGGATAAAATAATATGTCTGAAATTTGCCTCAAAATAATCCAGAGATGGGAGAAATAGAGTGTATATATATATCTATATATATGAAATAATAGGCCGGTGTGGTGGCTCACGCCTGTAATTCCAGCACTTTGGGAGGCCGAGGCGGGCGGATCACAAGCTCAGGAGATGGAGACCATCCTAGCTAACACGGTGAAAACCCATCTCTACTAAAAATACAAAAAATTAGCCGGGCGTGGTGACAGGTGCCTGTAGTCCCAGCTACTCGGGAGTCCCATGAACCCGGGAGGCAGAGCTTGCAGTGAGCGGAGATCGCACCACTGTACTCCAGCCTGGGTGACAGAGTGAGACTCTGTCTCAAAAAAAAAAAAAAAAAAAAAAGGAAGAATAATCCATGAGTTGACAATTGTTGATACTAGATAAAGGGGTTATCTGGGGGATCATTAAAATATGTAGTGTTTGCAATTTCTGTAATAATATTTTAAAGGGCTACTGAAATTAAGTGATTATATTGCCATGTTATGAAGTAGTGCAAAACTCATAACTCATTCATTATTATCTTATTTATTTATATATTCATTTGATCTAATTTACTAGAGGAAAAACTTTGGCTTTTGCGTCAAATAGCCTTATATTTGAATTCCAGTTCTGCCATTTAGTATGTCTCTAATGCGGGCAAAGTTATCTCTCTTATCGGCATCAGATTACTCTTTACCAAAATGCCAGATTGTATGGAGTTCCATTGTGTAATAGTTAACATTCTAGACTCTGACAAGATGATGGATTATAATATCTAATGTTAATTGCAGTTATACTAGAAGTTATATATGAAAGTACCTAGCACAATACTTGGTATAAAATAGGTATAGGTATGGAATAAATAATTGCTAGTTTTATGACCACAAACTTTTCAAGAAGCAAAGAAGTCAAGGTATTACCCTTAAAGCAATGTTTGCATGTTATTAAGTAGTTTGTTTGTCTTCACTGTATTATTTACTAAGGAAGTAGATTTTGTACTGACAAAATTACCCTTTGAATGACCAATAATACTAGAAACTCCTTTTAGTTACATAGAGCCACCCTTTCCAAGTCTGAATTTTCTTTGTAATTTTTTCAGTGATTTGGTTTGACTTGGTAAAGCTGACTATTTATGACTTGTGCTGACCTTAAAATCCCTCAACTGTCTTCAGAGTGACTAATTATTGATTTTGTGTAAAGACTATTTAATTAAATAGATACCAAGAAGAGATAGTGTTGCTGTATAGAGAGAAATGGCTGAAGGTGATTATTAAATGTTTGCCTTGTGGAATCTTGATAAAGTCATTGTTAATTTATATTTTCTTCCTTAGGACATACCTGTCTATTCACTTGACTCCTTTTCCGACATTGTCACTCCATTGGGAGGATGCCTGTTTATTTGAGATGCCTGACATTTCTCAAAGAGTTGATTTGACATGTACACTAATAAAGCTCAATTACTGAAAGATTAATAATTCATTGAGAAAGGTCATGTATGAGCAAATGACTTATGTTTTGATATTTGAGACTTATTTAGGTGGTTAAAATAAATTAACCTGATCCGTATCTGCTGGTACACAATACCACGATCAACTCAAACACTATTAAATGCCACACATTCTCTAATATATATATATTTTCATTAAAAACATTAAATGTTTTTATCCCATAAGCAAAATATTTATGGAATGTTTATTGGATCCCAAGCACTGTGCTATGGTTTAGGATATTCTGGTGAATAAAACTCAGCGAGTGTCTTCTCTTAAAGATTGTGCAGATGCATGGAAAGTGTGGTACAGTCAGAGAGCACAGAGTGTAGGTGGTGAGGATGCAACCCCAGGCAGAGTAGTGACCCAGAGAAAGAGCACACCTCAGGACTGATAATGTAAAACATCACTTTATGGGCCGGGTACAGTGGCTCATGCCTGTAATCCCGTCACTTTGGGAGGCCGAGGTGGGTGGATCACAACGTCAGGAGTTCAAGACCAACCTGACCAAGATGGTGAAACCTCATCTCTACTAAAAATATGAAAAATAGCTGGTCATGGTGGCGGCAGCCTGTAATCCCAGCTACTTGGGAGGCTGAGAGGCAGAGAATTGCTTGAACCCAGGAGGCAGAGGTTGCAGTGAGCCAAGATTGCGCCACTGCACTCCAGCCTGGGCGACAGAGCAAGACTCCTCAAAAAAAAAAAAAAAATCACTTTATGATAAAAACCCTCAAAAAACTGGGTATTGAAGGAGCATACATCAAAATAATGAAGGCCACATATTACAAACCCACAGCTAACTTTCACAATCGCTGCAAAGTAAAAAATAAAAATCTTTTTTGTGCCTGAATAATATTATATTGTGTATATATGCCACATTTTCTTTACCAATTCATCCTTTGATGGGCACTTAGATTGATTCCATGTGTTGGCTATTGGGAATAGTGCTGCAATAAGCATGGGAGTGCAGATATCTCTTCAGTATATTGATTTCCTTTCTTTTGGATACACACACAGTAGTGGAATTGCTGGGTCATATAGAAGTTCTATTTTTAATTTTTTGAGGAACCTCCATACCATTCTGCATAGTGGCTGTACTAATTTACATTCCCACTAACAGTGTATGTGGGTTCTCCTTATTCCACATCCTCACCAGTCTCTGTTATTGCCTGTCTTTTTTATATAGGCCATTTAACCGGAGTGAGATGATATCTCATTATGGTTTTGATTGGCATTTCTCTGATGATTAGTGATGTTGAGCATTATTTCATATACTTCTGGCCATTTGTACATTTGCTTTTTAGAAATGTCTATTCAGATCCATGGCCCATTTTTATTCAGATTATTCATTTTATTGCTATTGAGTTATTTGAGCCCCTTATATATTCCAGTTTTTAATTCCTTTTCAGATGGATAGCTTGCAAATATTTTATTCAGTTCTGTGGGTTGACAATTCACTTTGTTGATTGTTTGCTGTGCAGAAGCTTTTTAGCTTCATGTATCCTGTTTCTCTATTTTTGCTTTTGTTGCCCGTGCTTCTGAGGTCTTACACAAAATTTTTGCCTGAGGTATTTTCCAAACGCTTTATGCTATTAGTTTCCTATGTCCTGAGGTACTTTCCAAAAGCTTTATGGTATTAGTTTCATAATTTCAGGTCTCAGATGTAATACTTTTATCCATTTTTATTTAATTTTTGTATATGGTGAGAGATAGGTGTCTAGTTACATTCTTCTGCATGTGGTTACCAAGTTTACCTAGCAATATTTATGGAAGAAATTATTGTCTTTCCATTTTTCTTTGTTTCAAAAAGTTTTTAATTTTCTGTCTTAATATCTTCATTGACCCCTTGGCTGTTCAAGAGAAGGTTGCTTAATTTTCAGGTGTTTGTGTAGTTTCTGGGGTTCCTCTTGTTATTAATTGCTGGTTTTATTCCATTGAGGTTAGAAAAGATAATTGGCAGGATGTCTACTTTTTTAAGTTTGTTGAAATATGTTTTGTGGCCTAAAATATGGTCTATTCTGTAGAATTGGCTCAGGCGCTGATGCAAAGAATGTGTATTTTGCAGCTGCTGGGTAAAGAGCTGGGTAAATGTCAGTTAAGCTTATCTGGTCCATTATGTAGAATAATTCCAAAGTTGTTTTTTGTTGGTTTTCTGTCTAGAAGATCTGTTCATTACTGAAAGTGGCATGTTGAAGTCCCCTAATATTATTATATTGCAGTCTATTTCTTCCTTTAGATCTATCAATGATTGCTATATACATTTGTGTGCTTTATTGTTGGGTGCATAGATATTTATTATTGTTTTATCTTCTTGCAGAATTGATCTCTTCATCATTATATGATGACTTTCTTTTTCTCATCTTATAGTCTTGAACTTCTAGTTTTTTTTCTAAGTATAGCTACTCCTATTCTTTGTTTTCTATTGCATGCAATATCTTTCACTTTCAGGGTATACGTGTCTTTATAGGTCAAGTGGGTTTCTTGTAGGCAGCTCATAGTTGGGTCTCACAGTTTTATCCATCCAGACACTCTATGTCTTTTAATTGAAGGATTGTATTCATTTTCATTAAGTGTTATTATGGATAGTAAAAACTTACTACTACCATTTTGTTGCTTATTTTCTGGTTATTTTGTAACTTTTCTCTTCCTTCGTATCTTCCTTGTGGTTAAGTGATTTACTCTGGTGGTATATTTTAATTCCTTGCTTTTTATTTTTAGTGATTCTATTATAGTTTTTTCATTGTGGTTACCATGAGGCTTACAAAAAACATTTTATAGATACGACAAGTATTTTTAAAGAAATGACAAATATTTTCTTTTTGTACGTTAGTGTTTTGTTTTGTTTTGTTTTTCTCTCAGAATGAAGAACTCCTTTTAGCATTTCTTGGAAGATGGTTCTGGTAGTGGTCAATTATCTCAGCTTTTGTTTTTCTGGGGAAGACTTGGTCATATTTAAAGGATAGCTTTGCTGGATTTTTGGATGGCAGTTTATTTTTCTTTCAGCACTTTGAAAATATTGTCCCAGTCCCTCCTAGCTTGTGTGGCTTCCATTGAGAAGTCTGTTGCCAGATAAATTGGAGATCTTTTTTACGTTATTTGCCTCTTTTCTCTTACTGCTTTGAGAATACTTTATTTGTCCTTGAGGTTCAAGAGTTTATTTTATTCAAGAGGTGTAATCGGCTCATTTTTCTGTGGGTTGAACAAGCATAGCGTTGGCATCTGTTTGGCATCTGGGGAGGCCTCAGGAGCATTTTCCTCATGGTGGAAAATGAAGCAGGAGGAGGCATATCACATGACTAGAGCACCATCGAGAGAGAGAAGGGGAAGATTCCACACACTTTCAAACAACCAGATCTCACAAGAACTCACTCACTATCATGAGGACGGCACCAAGCCTTATATAAGGGATCTGGCCCTAAGACCTAAAGACCTCCTACCTGCTTCCAACACTGGGGATTAAATCTCAACATGAGATTTGAAGAGGGCATTCAAACTATGTCATTGGGGTAGTCTTACGGGGGTCACATTTGTTTCTCTGACCTTACTGTACTTGAATATTTATCTCTTTCTCAAGTTTTGGGAAGTTTTTGTTATTCTTTATTTTTTTTAATAAGCTTTCTATTCTTTTCTCTTACTCAACTTCTTCAACATCAATATTTCTCAGATGTGATCTTTTGAGGCAATTTTTTTTTTAGGGGGAATGGAGTCTCACTCTGTTGCCCAGGCTGGAGTGCAGCAGTGTAATCTCGGCTCACAGCAACCTCCACATCCAAGGTTCAAATGATTCTCCTGCCTCAGCCTCCCGAGTAGCTGGGATCACAGGCATGCACCACCACACCCAACTCATTTTTGTATTTTTAGTAGAGATGGGGTTTTGCCATGTTGGCCAGGCTGGTCTCGAACTACTGACCTCAAGTGATCCTCCTGCCTCGGCCTCTCCAGGTGCTGGGATTACAGACATAAGCCACCGCACCCAGCCTGAGGTAATTTTCTATGTCTTGTAGTGAATCTTTGTTCCTTCTCACTTTTTTTTTCTCCTCTGACTGTGAATTTTAAAATAGGCTGTCTTTGAGCTCACTGATTCTTTCCTTTGCTGGATCCATTTGGTTGTTGACAGTCCCTAATGAGTTTTCAATTCAGCAAATGTATTTTTCAGTTCCAAGATTTCTGTTTAAAAACTTTATTATTTCAATTTGTTTTTTAAATTTCTCTGATAAATTTCTGAATTGCTGTACCGTGTTAACTTGGAAATCACTGAATTTCCGTAAAACTGCTATTATGAATTATTGGTTAGAGAGCTCACACTTTGTTATCTCACTCAGGCCAGTCACTGATTCTTTGCTTTGTTTGTTTGAGGAGATCATGGTTTCCTGCTTACTGTTGTTGTTGTTGTTGTTTAGATTATTGTCTGTATCTTTGCCTTGAGGGACTAGTTATTTATTCCAGTCTTCTCTGTCTAGCTGTTTTGTTTATTGGAAATATTTGCATAGAGAGTCTTTGTAGTTTACCTATTGAATATCTCTTTATTTTTTGTTTCTGCTCTCTCTCTCTTTGGCACTAGATGGCACCTTAAGCCCAGGTTTGTTTCAACTCTATTAAAATATCAGAATACTGCCTGTCCAGATTGGGGGAAGGTTCCTAAGAGGATATTATAGCAGTTTGGGAGAGCTGGCTAGAGGTTTGTGCCCAGGGGACCTGTGGTACCTACCCCCTACAATGCAGTGCTACTACATAACCACTCTGATATGAAATCTTTGGCTGAGTTACAGAGGAGAGATTCCAGGCCTGAGGCTGAGGGTAAGGATGGTAGTCTCACCTCTCTTCTGTCTCTGGCTATCATCACGGATATTTCTCCCATAAGGTACTTGTGATGCTTCCTGTGGCTTGAGGCAGGGACATGTCTTCTGCCAGGAAATCCAAGATAGTGGGGAAGCAGGATTGTCTACCTCAATCTCATTTATTTCACTGTAGAAACCATAAATTTGGGGAAAATTTTTCATGTGCTTGGTGCCAGGCAGATGAAGGGTGGGGTGTTGTGAATGTGGAAGTCTGAGTCTTAGAGTTTGTACACTTCTCTGTGGCCCTGCGAATTGTTTCATCCTCATATTTTGAGTTGGATATTGCAATATTGCTACTGATAATCTCAGCACTGTGTGTGTGTATATATATATATTCCAATATACATATTTGTGTGTATATTATATATAGTGTGTGTTATAGTGTGTGTGTACATATATATATGTACTTATATAGATAGATAGATAGATATAGATATACATTCGTGTGTGTATGAAGGTAAGGGAAGTGAAGCCAGCTTGTTTGATCCCACCATTTTAAACAGCACTGATTGTTTCTCTTTCGTGTTCTGCTTATTTGATTTAGCATAATGATTTCAAGAATTATTTCTGTTGTGGAATAAATTGTTACTTCTTTTCTTTGTATGGCTGAATAATATTCCATTGTATGGATATATCACATTTTGTTATTGTTGTTTCAATTTATGAACAATTGGGTTATTTCCATTTTGGGGTATTATGAATAATGCTGCCATGAGGATTCATATACAAGTTTTTGTGTGGGCATGTACATTCAGGTCTCTTGGGTATATATCTAAAAGTGAAATTGCTGGGTCTTCTGGTAACTTCTTTAACCAGTTGAGGAGCTGCCAGACTGTTTTCCCAAGTGGCTGTGCCTCTTTATAATTCTACAATCAAAGTATGAGGGTTTTAATTTTTCAGCATTCTTGGTATTCCTTGTAATTGTCTTTTTGTTTTAACCACCCTGTGGGTGTAAAGTAGTATCTCATTTTGGTTTTGATATGCATTTTCCTAATGGCTAATGACATTCACTATCTTTTCATATACTTATTGGCTATTAGCATATCTTCACTGGATATTTTTATTTTAAAAGCAGTTTTGAATTTAGCTACTTGTAACAAATCTTGGTCAACATACATCTTTACATATTGAATTTCATCACCATAAGTTTTTTCTTAAGACATAACTTACTAATGAATATTCTTCATCTTTCACTAGTGCTTGTGGGGAGCTGACATTTAGTAATAATAAGAAAAATAAAATAGAATTTAAAGACAGAGTTTTCTACTTTGACAATAATGAGAATATTTATTATTTATACTTTATCAAGTTTAGCTGAGATAGTAGCATTGTATAATGATGGGAAGAAAAACTAAAATAATTTTTGGCCCTTAATATTTTTCTCCCTTTAATTCAACTCTAGTAAATGTTTTTAAAAATAGAGGAATTTTAGGAAATAGTCAAAAAAGTTTAGGTTCATATTTGTCTACCCTCGTACTATGTGCTTAACAACATGTATTTTACTGAATAATCTATGAAAAATTTAAACAACAGAATAACAAAGATAATTATTTCATTCACAGAACAAATGTTTTTTGGGTGTCCAATAGTTAAAGATATTTGTATTGAGTGCTTGAAAATTAACAGTGGAAAATAAAAATGAATATGTTTACATGGTAAGATGTATATAGTACATTGTAAGGAGAAAAATACATTTTAATAATGAGTATAACACCTGTATATTATTCTAAATATGTAACTAGATGTGAAGTTTATATTGAACATACCAGAGTATGAATAACATTCATCCACTGATGATAAATTATGGCTGGATTTTTTTCCTCATTTATAACATCAATTATATAAATATAAATTATAAAAATAAGTTTAAATTTAGGTAGATTTAAGTTTGAAGATATTAAATTGCTTCCTTATCTGAAAAAATAAAGATCATATCTGCATTATAGGGATAGTGTAAACATTAAATGGCACGTAAAGTAACTAAAAATTACCTAATATAGTTTGTGCCAGCAAAAATATTTAAGTGTGTATTCACATATAATTATCACTAGAACTGTATGAGAAAAGAAAATTGTCCTATATTCACAATAATTTACTGTAAGAACTATAAGTTTTTAGTCAAAGTCCCCAAGTTGGAAAGAGGCTCGATATTGATGCAAACCCTAATGTTTGTCTTTGACGACTGTTTGGTTAAACTTCACCAAACCACACTAAAAGCAAACTCTATTTGGGGTCTAATGTAAATAATCTTAGAGTACTAACTGTGAAGCACTTATACTGTTGAGTGGTCAACACTTTTTGTACCCTGTGTTCTCCTAGATACCACACAGTGTTGCCAGATGGGTAGAAATTCACAGTATTAAAACACCAGAGGCTGTTCACAAGAGGCCTTTTGTGCCTCCACTTTGTTCTTCCAAGAGTAGAGACTGTCATGTACCTGAGCTCCGATGAGGCATTTTGCCAGCTGCAAGAGACTGACACATTTTAAAGGCATTGTTCCTGAGAAACCTAGGATATGATTTGAGAGGAAACTCTCTCTGTGCTTTCTCTCTAAACAGAAAGCAGACACAAGAGAGGGTTTTACCCTCCACAGAGCTATACAGATATTGAAAGGTAATCATATCTCAAATATGAAATTCTGTTCTTATTTATTTATCTTAGTTTCTTTTTGTTGTCACAAAATAAAGTTGAGGTATTTTTTTCATTCAGGTCCTCAGCTATCAACTTCAGTACACTTTCTGAATCCTCCTATTTCTGCACTCAGTTTAGACATAAAATGCCTAAAGTTTGATCTCCCAGCCCATTGAAACGGTTGAAAATTAAAGAATGTTATACTTTTATCTTCTATCATTCACATGTTTAAAGTTCTACCCGAGTTCTGATGTAGTGCGCTCCATATGGATACTTTGTCATATGATGCACATAATCTGTCTTCATAACTAATTTATTCTCTTAATAGATTCAGTATTTTCTCCCTGTGTGTGAATGACAAAAGTATTTACCTTGATCACATTGCTACAGTTGGAAGAGCTTCTATAAGGAACCTCTCTGGGAGGCTCATTATCGGTAAGTTATGAATGTGAGTTCACCCTGAGTCTCTGACTCTCCAATTCCCATTCTGTTGCTCTTTTCTGATAAGATGATGAAATTCAGTTTATTCTTGATCCAAATTATTTTTATTTATTAATGTAGACTTCCTGTTGCAATCAAATCGTAACCATTGTCTTTACATAAGGCTCATCCATTCCCATATTCATAACTACTCTGAACCCTTTCTTCCTATCATCGAGTGTTCTCCCTTTCCTCTTTGGCCCATCCATATCCTACACAATTTATAAAGTTAAGTTCAATTCTTCCTTTGCAAAGCTACCTTTGACTACTGGAGTTCACAGAGCTGCTGTCTCTCCTGTGAATTACTAATTTCAAGGTTACTTATATCTATTCAGACACAATATTTCCACTATACAGTGACTGGAGTGATCTTTTAAAAAATGTTATTCAGGTCATGTGACCATTCTTACTCCATTTCCTTCAATGGCTTCCCACTGCATGTAGGAAAAAATGCTAAAGTTCTGATCATAATCTAAAAGACCACTAAAATTTGGCCCAGGCTTATGTCCCCATCTTTATCTTATTCCAGCTCTGTAACTCTTAATACATTCCAGCTGCATTTACTCTATCAGTTATCTCTTACCACCTAACAATATTACCATAAAATTAGCAGCCTAAGGTAATGGTCATTTTTATTTCAAAGTTTCTGTGAGTCGGGAATCAAGATAGGGCTTAGCTGGGTTCTCTGCTGCAGAATCTCTCATGAGCCTGCAATCCACATTTTGGTTAAAACTCATCTGAAAGTGGTATCTGAAAGCTTGATCAAGGAAGGATTTGCATTCAAGAGTACATGGCTGTTGGGAGGAAGGAAGGAAAAAAGGAAGGGAGGGAGGGAGAGAAGGCAGGAAAGAAGGAACAAGAGACAAAGGGAAAAGAAGGGAGAGGGAGAGGTAGAAGGGAGCGATAAGGAAAATTGTTATGACTCATTTACATTGCAATAGTTCCCTCCTTATTCAAGACCCCTTGTGGATGCCTGAAACCCAGATAGTATGGAACCCTATATATACTATGTTTTTTTCCCATAAATACATACATATGGTAAAGTTTAATTTATATATTAGGCACAGTAAAAGATTAACAACAATAATTAATAATAAAATAGAACAATTATAACAATATACTGTAATGAAAATTATGAGAATGTGCTCTCTCTCTCTAAAAGTATCTTACTTGACTGTATTTACCTACTTTCAGGCCATAGTTGATGACAGGTAATTGAAACTGTGGAAAGCAAAACTGTGAATAAGGGATGACTACTGCCTGTGTAATATAATAATTCCAATTTTTGTCAGGTCAGTATGATGATTCAACATGCTATAAGCCTAGAGTTAACTGACATCAAATTATATATACTAGTAATAATAACTACATTTAACTCTCAGGTAAAATTTCTTACCACATCAGTGCTTAATGAATATATAATTTATTTCCAAAGGAACCAACGCAAGTATTTTAATATGTCTTTGAATAATACACAATTCATTTCAATAGTATTTACAGATACCATATTTATCTATCCTCCACTCCCCACAAAACATATCGGCCATTAAATTACAATTAAGAATAGTTTAAACATAGTTCTCTTTCTAGTATCCTTCCATTCATGTTCCTTTATTCATTTTTCTTCCTTCAATATTTTGTATGTCTTAATTAAAATAAGACATCTAAAGTCTAAAATCCTGTTTATTTTTAATTAAATTTCAATTTATTTTTAATTATTTTTAATATTTAATTTTGTGGGTAGACAGTAGGTGTACTTACGGGGTCCATGAGATATTTTGGTATAGGCATGCAGTGCATAATAACAATTTCATGGGAAGTTGGGTATCCATCCCCTCAAGCATTTTTCCTTTGTGCTACAAACAATCCATTTATATTCTTTTAGTTATTTTAAAATGGACAATTAAATTATTATTGAGTATAGGCCCCCTTTTCTATCAAATACTAGGTATTATTCATTCTTTCTATTTTTTTTAACCTATTAACCATCCCCACCTTGCCCTTATCCCCAACTGCCTTTACCAGCCTTTAGTAATCACCCTTCTATTCTCTATCTCCATGAGTTAAATTATTGTGATTTTTGGAACCCAGAAATAAGTGAGAATATGTGATGTTTGTCTTTCTGTGCCTGGCTTATTTCACTTAACATAATGACCTCCAGTTCCATCTATATTGTTGCAAATGACAGGATCTCATTTTGTTTTAAATGGCTGACTGGTACTTCATTGTGTACAAGTACCACATTTTCTTTATCCATTCATTCATTGATGGACATTTAGGTTGCTTCCAAATCTTGGCTGTGGTGAACAGTGCTGCAACAAACATGGAAGTGCAAATATCTCTTAGATATACTGATTTCCTTTATTTTGGGTATATACTCAGCAGCAGGATTGCTAGATCACATGGTAACTCTATTTTTAGTTTTTTTCAGGAACCTCCAAACTGTTCTCCATAGTCATTGTACTGACTTACATTCCCACCAACAGTGTTCAAGCTTTCCCCTTTCTCTACATACTCACCAGCTTTTTTTTTTTTTTTTTTGAGACGGAGTCTCACTCTGTCCCCTAGGCTGGAGTGCAATGGCATGGTCTCAGCTCACTGCAACCTCCACCTCCCAGGTTCAAGCAATTCCCCTGCCTCAGCCTCCTGAGTAGCTGGGACTACAGGCGCATGCCACCACACCCAGTTAATTTTTTGTATTTTAGTAGAGATGGGGTTTCACCATGTTGGTCAGGCCGGTCTCGAACTCCTGACCTCGTGATCCGCCCACCTCGGCCTTCCAAAGTGCTGGGATTACAGGCGTGAGCCACTGCACCTGGCCCAAAAGTTTTAAGTATTGGAGATTTTTTTAATATTTTATTTATTTTTTTCAGCTTTTGTTATTACTTGACTTTTGGATATAAGCCATTTTAACTGGGGCAAGATGATATCTCATTGTAGTTTTAATTTGAATTTCTCTGATGATCAATGATGTTGAGCACCTTTTCATATGCCTGTTTGCCATTCGTGTGTCGTCTTTTGAGAAATATCTATTAAAATATTTTGCCCATTTTTAAATAGGATTATTAGAATTTTTCCTGTAGAGTTCTTTGAGTTCCTTATATATTCTGGTTATTAATCCCTTGTCAGATGGATGGTTTGCAAATATATTCTCCCGTTCTGTGAGTTGCCTCTTCACTTTGTTAATTCTTTCCTTTGCTGTGCCAGAAGCTTTTTAACTTGATGTAATTCCATTTGTCCATTTTTGCTTTGCTTGTCTGTGCTTGTGAGGAATTACTCAAGAAAATTTTGTTCAGACTAATGTCCTGAAAACTTGCCTCAGTGTTTTCTTGTAGTAGTTTCATAGTTTGTGGTCTTATATTTCAGCTTTTATTTCATTTTGATTTGAGTTTTATATATGGCAAAATATCGGGATCTAGTTTCATTTTTCTGTGTTGTGGATATTCAGTTTTCCCAGCACCATTTATTGAGGATATTGTCTTTTCCTCGGTGTATGTTCTTAGAATTTTCATCAAAATTGAGTTTACTGTAGGTTGTAGATTTGTTTCTGTGTTCTCTATTCTGTTACATGTGTTTATGTGTCTATCTTTATGCCAGTACCATGCTGTTTTTGTTACTATAACTCAGTAGTATAATTTGAAGTCAGGTGATGTGATTCCTTGAGTTATGTTCTTTTTTTCAGGATAGCTTTGGCTATTCTGGGTCTTTTGTGATTCCATATAAATTTTATAGTCTTTTTTTTTTTCAATTTTCTGTGGAGAATGTCATTAGTATTTTGATAGGGATTGCATTGAATCTGTGGATTGCTTTGAGTAGTGTGGATATTTTAACAATATTAATTCTTCCAATCCATGAACATAAAATATCTTTCCCTTTTTTGTGTGCTTTTCAATTTCTTTCATCAGTGTTTTATAGTTTTCATTGTAGAAATCGTTCACTTTTTTGGTTAATTCCTGGGTATTTAATTTTATTTGTGACTATTGCAACTGAGATTACTGTTACAATTTCTTTTTCAGATTGTTCACTGTTGGCATGTAGAAATGCTATTGATTTTTGTATGATTTTGTATCCTGCAACTTTACTGAATTGTTGATCAGTTTTAATTGTTTTTTTGTGGAATCTTTAGGTCTTTCAGAATTTAAGATTATATCATCTGCAAACAAGGATAATTTGACTTCTTCCTTTCTAATTGGGATACCATTTATTTCATTCTCTTGTCTAACTGCTCTAGCTAAGACTTCTAGTACTATGTTGAATAACAGTCATGAATGTGGGCATTCTTGTCATGTTCCAGATTTAAGAGGAAACACTCAGTTTTTCCACATTCAGTTAAATCTTAGTTGTGGGTCTGTCATATATGGCTTTTGTTATGCTGCAATATGTTCCTTCTATACCAAGGTTTTTTTTGTCATGAAGGGATACTGAACTTTATCAAATGCTTTCTCAACATCACTTGAAATAATCATATGTACTTTGTCCATATGATTCATTTGCAGATGTTAAAGCATCCTTGCATCCCTGGGATATATCCCAGTTGGTCATGATGAAAGATCTTTCTGATGTATTGTTGGATAAATTTATCTGATAAAATTTTGAATACCTTCTCTGTGTTATTTTGAATTTCTATGAATTTCCTCAAAACAGCTATTTTGAATTATCTGTCTGAATGGTCATATATCCCTGTTTCTCCAGGATTTGTCCCTGCTGGCTTATTTAGTTTGGTGAAATCATCATGTTTTCCTGGATTGTGTTGATGCTTGTAGATGTTCTTTGGTGTCTGGGCATTGAAGAGTTAGGTATTTATTGTAGCCTTCACAGTCTGGGCTTGCCTGTGCCTGTCTTACTTAAAGGTTTTCAAGGTATTCAAATGGACTTTTTCCCCAAGCCCAATAATGCTGTGACTTTGGCAGACTTGTAGAGGTATTGCCTTGGTGGTCTTGGATAAGATCTTAAAGAATTCTCTGGATTACCAGACAGAGATTCTTGT
The DNA here is from genome assembly GCF_000001405.40 of Homo sapiens. NCBI lineage: Eukaryota > Metazoa > Chordata > Mammalia > Primates > Hominidae > Homo > Homo sapiens. Next base: position 64,043,666 of record NC_000016.10, on the reverse strand, counting down.
CCTTTTCCCTTATTTTCTTCCAAACATATAGAGTCTCTCTCTCTCTGTGCTGAGCCACTTGAAACTGGGGGTGTGGTGATGCAGCACCTCTGTGGCCACCACCACTGGGACTTTGCTGGATCAGACCTGGAGCCAGTACAACACTGGGCCTTGCCTAAGGCCCTTCCCTTGAGGGTGGTGAGCTCCCCCAAGCCCCATTGATCAGAAATGCTGTCTGGGAGCCAGGGACTGGCATCAAAACCCTCAGCAATTTACCTGATGTTCTCTTGTACTGCAGCTAAGCTGGCACACAAACCACAATATAAGTTACTTTCCACTCTTTCCTCTCCTTTCCATGGACACTGGAGCCTCATTCTGTGGCCATCTCCACCACTGGTCCACGGAAGGCTGGGGGGCGGCCCACCAGGCTACTACCTTAAGAGCTACTGCCAGCTCTTAAACTCAAGAGCTCTTTTGTCAGTTTGGTGAAAGCTGCAAGGTCTAGAACTCACCTTTGAGGGTAGTGGACTCTCCCCTGGCCCAGTGTAGATGCAGAAATGCTGTCCAAAAGCCTACACCTAAACTTGGGGACCTCAAGAGCCTGCTTATTGCTCTAACCCGCTGTGGTCAAGCTGGTACTTAGCGTGCAAGACAAAGTTCTCTTTAGTTTTTCCTCTGCTTTCCTCAAATAGAAAGAGACTTTAACTGTAGCCACTACAGCTGGGAATGTACTGGATTTCCCCTGGAGCCAAGATATCTCAGAGCCCAAGGCCTATGCCATCCTCCCTGGGTATAGCTGGTGATTACTCGGGGCCCGAGGGCTCTTTAGTCAGTGAGTGATGAATCCTGCCAAAACTGAGTCCTTCCCTTCAAGGCAGTAGGTTCCCTTTTGGCCTGGGATGTGTCTAAAAATGTCATCCAAGAGCTAGGACCTGGAATGTGGGCCTCACAACTCGACCCAGTGTCCTATTCTGTGGCTGAGCTGGTATCCAAGATGCAAGACAAAGTCTTTACTCTTAACTCTGCTTTTCTTAAGCAGAAGGAAAGAGTCACTTTTATGGCAAAGAGCTGCACTGCCTGGTGTTTGTGAAAGAATAGTGCAGGCCCTATCTTACCTGTGTCAGCTGGTGTCTCCCTAATTCCCATGCCACCCTAGTCCACTGGCTCTGAGCCCAGCTCATTTCTGAAGCTGTGGGAAGGACCCAGAGGGAGATGATTGAATTATGGGAGTGGGTCTTTCCTGTGCTGTTCCTGTGATAGAGGATAAGTCTCATGACATCTCATGGCTTTAAAATGGGAGTTTGCCTGCACAAGCTCTCTCTTTGCCTGCCGCCATCCACATAGGATGTGACTTGCCCCTCCATGCCTTCTGCCATGGTTGTGAGGCCTCTCCAGCTACATGGATCTGTGAGTCCAATTAAACCTCTTTATTTTGCCCAGACTAAGGTATGTCTTTATCAGCTGCATAAAAACAGACTAATACAATCACATTGTACTTTAATTGTCTGCTTTTTTGTCTATATTCCAGGTTTAATAATATTAGGTTCTGTGTTTCACCAGGGAAAATCACAATCGAAGAGGATATCACAGTCCTGCAATATAGTAGCCATTTAATAAATCTTGGTTGAAATTTGGCAAGTGTGTGTTTGTGTGTGTATGTGTGTGTGTGTGTTTATGCACATGCACATATGGGTATTAAAGTTCATCTGTTAAACAATAAATTCTGGATAACTGGAAATTTAACAAGTAGAATACTATTGCTTTTATAGGAGGTGACAATGACTTCCAAATATATAACTTTCTGAAGTATTACTCATATATCCTATGTCTTTATATCTCCAAATGAATATCAAAATTAGCATGTTAGAAGAACCACCAATTTCCCCCTCAAGTGCGCCTCATCCGTCTGTCTCTGAATAAGAAAATGATGCTGCCATATAACTGTAGGTCTATTATTGCCATTTCTCTATCCCTTACTCTATACCCATTTCATGAGCAGGTAGAAGGCTCCACCTTTAAAACACATTTCATCCTTGTTTATTTCTCCCCATTTGGATTTATTATTCTGCTTGGGCAGCCTTAACAGAATATCTCATACTGGGTGATATTCTGTTTAATCAACAGAAACTTATTTTCTCACAACTCTGAAGGTTGGACATCTAAGGTCAAGGTGCCAGGAAGGCTGGTTTCTGCAGAGGCCTGGTGTCCTTGCTTCAGATGGCCACCTTCTCACTGTGTTCTCATCTTCACACAGCCTTCCCTCTGTGTGTGTATATTCCTGGCTTCTGGTGTGTCTTCCTCCTCTCATATGGACACCTTTCCTGTTGGATTAGAATTCTACACTTTTACCCTTGTTTAACCTTAGTTATCTTCTTTAAGGTCTTATCTCCAAATATAGTGACCTTGCCATTTAGGGCTTCAGTATATCAATTTGGCAGGGGGTACAGGTGTCACAATTCATTCCCTATAGCCTTGTAATATGGATCCCTATTTTCATCTTTAACTCACACAGCCCATTGTTCATTGGGCATACAGGTGATTTTCTTAAGACTTAATTAGATGATATTAGTTTTTGATTAGGCCCTCCAGGCTTTCCAATAACCCTTAGACTAAAACACTAATATCTTGGGCTGGCCTAGAAAGCCCATGTCACTTCTTCCTAACTCTCTAAATTCATCCTGGACTACTTTCTCCTTTGTTCACAGACTTAGCTCATCTTTGCCTCGGTGCTTTTCCAGTCTGGTCCCCATCTCCAAAGCTCTTCACCCAGACCTTTTGGTTTTCAAGTCTCAGCATAAATATTACTGCTGCAGCCTTTCACTTCCTTATGTAAGGCGGATACCACCCAGTGGAATACAAGCCATTCTAGCCATGTTTCAGATGGCACGTGATTTTATTTGTCAGCAAGCTGAGGACCGGATGATACAATCCTGAGAGGTAGTTTTCAACTTTAGAGTCAAATGTTTTCATATTGCTACCAAGAAAACAACTATTTATGAATAGATGTTTCTATTCTGCTGAAATACATCCAATCTAAGTAACAGAAGGTAATTAGCAAAGAATCTAATCAGCAGCATTGCTTTAGTGCCCATCATTAAAAAGCTTAACTGTTGCACCATTTTTCTTTTCTGCTTTATGAAAAACTCATTTATGTACCATTTCAATGCTATTGTAATTGTGAGCAGAGTTTTATGGGGGGATTAAATTACTGGCCTCAATTTTACAACACAAACATTACCTGGAGGCTTCTATAACCCAGTCACAGGAGAAAATGGAAAAAAAAACCCCAGAAAATTATCATAAAAATACTGATGCTGGAACTGAACTTTGATGCTCATTGGTTAGATTGATCTGCAGCACCACATTAAGATTTCAAGCCATGTGTTATAAAACATCCTTTTTATTTCGATGACTTTCTTTTTTTTTTTTTTTGCAAATGAATCTTCATAGCTATACACTAGGGAGAACGAATGCACCTTGAAAGACTGAATATTTAAAAGACGCAAAATGTCAATTCGTAAATATTTGAGCATTTGGTTGACATCTCATTTCAAGAATAGAGTTGCCAAAACTGCTTTCACTAATGAAAAAAGAAATCTCAGGTAAGTCACGTAGCTGGAGGCAACTGCAGTTATCTTTGTAGAGAAAGGTCAGTGTCTTAAGACAAATAAAATTCACTCAATAAATTGTTTATTCTCAATTTTTTGTTGTAACTATATTAAATACATGTGCAAATCATGTATTTCAGGAGTTTTTCTTTTTTAGAATGAAAAGGCAGACTTTTCTCAAGAGCTGCTGATTTCAATCTACTCAAACAAAACAAAAATAAAAACAACACAAATCCTGCCCTTTTCCTCATCAAGCATCATTTAATTTACAAGTTTAACTATCGTGGGCTATTCTTTGTCTCTCTATACACATAGAACACTTTTTTCCACTGTCTTCGTGTTTTCCTCTCGCCTTTCTCTCTATTTCTCTCTCTTTCTTTCTCTCATTCTTTTATTATTAGACTAGAAATAGATGTTGATGGTAAGATACATCCTCAAATGTAGGACATAGTTTATTTCTCCATTTTATAATTTAAATGCTATTTTATTTTATTTTACATTTCATTCTTAATGCAATCTTTTTAATAGCCCATTTAGTTAGAAGTCACTGAGCCTATCTCTCAGTTGAGGAAATTAAGGCTCAGATAGGTTAAATGACTCATGCAAGACACACAACCATTTAGTTATAAAACCAGTTTTGAAAAAATTTTTCTATGGGGACATCCCAAAACAACTTGGGATAAAGACAAAATTGCCAGGTGAAATATAGAGCCAGGAAAAACAAAATATTTTTCAATGATTACAGCTCACTTAGAAGATGATAACTGCATGATAAATGCACTCATGGAAAGGAGTGAAAAGAGGATTTCTGAGACAGGAATACAGTCTTCAAGATGAGGAGAGGCAAGAGTGTGGATTCAGGAAAAGCAATTCCTGGGAATTAGCAGATATATTTGAATGAACCATAATATCCTTTTACTGCTTTGTGTGGACTTGACTTTTATGGTATCAAATTCTTCCCTTGCAAAATCAAAGGGCTACAAGAAACAAGGGAATCTTGGTTACTGGAAATGGTTAATGGGGAGGAATTGGCTGACTAGATAGGCTAAATTCAGGTTTAGGAAGGCATGCTTAAAAGTTCAGCAAGTTTTGCCTTCCAGAGATGCTGTTTGAAAGGGTCATGGAGATCCAGAACTGCACACAATACTTCAAAAGTTTTACAATAGGGTGAGGCATTTCTCATTACTGAGGAGAGGAAGATTAAAGCAATTTCATAGAACAATTAAAGCATTACATTACTGAAATGCTAATGAAGTTAGCCAGTAAGTAATTCAGTATATAGTCTGAAACATAGCATGGCTAATGTTTAGTTCCTTTTAAAAAAGATATTGCTCTTTTCAACTGTGAATTCATGCATTCACATCCATACACATACACATACACATACACAAAAGCACATACATTTTAGTATACCCCCACCTATTTTTTAAAAGGTATCAAAAGTTAGTAAATGCATAAATTAAGGCTAAGTAGAGACAAATTAAGTACGCTGTTAAAGAAGATGATCAAATTGTTAGCATATTCAAAGACATGTTAAATATGAACATTAAGAGAAGAAGAACAAGCAGAGATGAACTTTGTCAATGTAAGTATAAATCCAGAAGTTTAATTTCTAACAGGAGATAAATATGTTCCTTCATAACTCTCACAATGTGAATGGAGAATAACAGTCTAATTTATGAAGCTAGATTATCATTCCAAATTTAATAGTTGCTATCTTTTTGCTTCCTATTCTGAAACCTGTCAAGTACTGAATGGAAAAGAAGGTAAAGAATGAATGCTAAGCACAAAGATGGTACTTTTGGGAGCCAAAACGTAATACTTGTATTGCCATCTTTTTTTTTTCTTTCTTTTCCAATGTGTTTGCAACTGGCAGGGGTAGGTGAGGGAGTCAGGGGTGATCTGATAAAATAAGGCTGTCATTTAAGCTATATGTGCAAGGGATATATGGAATTCTGCTAATAACTTTGGGATTAGGACAGAGACTAAAGCCAATAATCACTTCCTTGTTTTTTAAGGAAGTATTGGTAAAGTTAACTTATGATTGTATCCGTATGCACCTCAACATCTTTCCGTTTGAGTGTTTCAATTCATCTAACTATCCATCCATCTACCCATCCATCCATCCATTCATCAATCTATCCACCCACCTATCCCTTCATTCATTCATTCATCCATCCATTTATTCCATTAGCATCTCTTCAATATCTGTTGTATTTTAGAAAATCTGCCAGGCACATTTCTTTAAATATGGCAGCAATTCAGGAAGCTAGGTAGTATGATCCTAATTTCAATGATGAAGAAGAAACTAACGGTTAAATAACCTAATTCTTAGCAGGACAGCTGGTAAATGACAGAGCCATAACTTAATCCCATTTATGTTTGTTTTTTGTTGGTTTGTTTGTTTTGTTCAACAAATGCATTTTTTCTGGGCACAACAACAATGCTAGGAGTTTGGAACCACACAGAGTTTGGGGCATTCATGGTTCCTAATCTTGTAGAGCTTGCTGTCCACTAGGCTTGTTTGGTGTCCAAATCTGTTCCCTTTCTATTCCTTGTTTTCTAAATGTAGCCAAAAGATAATTTAAAAAAAAAAAAAAAAACATACACAGAAAGCCCATCCTGTGTATGGCACTAATACAGCAGCTAGAAAGAAATTATTTAGGCAGATAGTGAGGGTAAAAGAGACTTTGGTGGAATTTCCCTTTTTAACAAAAAGCAGTTCCCAAATCATTTCTTTTCTAACAAACAGAAGTCTGAAAAAGTGAGCTGCAGACATAGATAAGCAAGCTGGAAGCTTGCATGGGTAAATGCCAGCAGCTGTGCCAATAGAATAGTGCTACCTGAGGTCCAGGCATGTTCAACATGGAGACTCCATTTTCCCTTTTCTTTGTCAACCACATGTACAGTAAAGAAGCAGGCAACATGGCACCAGCCAGGTAGAGAACCCATCTGCATACAAAAGATTAGGGTGGGGGTGGCCAGCTTTTCATGTGCTAAGTAAATGGCACACCTGGTCCGAACAGAACAATCTTTTGTGCCCTATGTAAATCAGACACCACCTCCTCAAGCTCATGTATAAAATCCCCTGCATTCCACTGCCAAACTGGCCACCCATTTCTCTGGTACCCCTCTCTGCTGCAGAGAGCTCTTCTCTTTCTTTCGCCTGTTAAACTTCTGCTCTAAACCTCATTCTTTCTGTGTCCGCGTCCTAGTTTTCCGTGACCAAGAGAAAACAAATCTTGGGTATTCACCCGAGGCAACGACGCGGCTTCAGCACCAGCTATATTTCAGTTTCTATAGCACCCACATATCCCTGTCAACAAATCTAGTTTACAATGTAACCTGTTTTAAAAATAAGAAAACAAATATTTGTTTGCAAACAATACTATCATATGCAAGGGCAAGTATGTGTAGGGTCAAAGTATCTCAAAATTTAGAGCTCACACAAAGGTCATGGAGAAATCTGTGTTTATTTACTTTTCTCTATCCAAAGTAGGAAAGTGGGTACTTGACTTCCTTGTGAAATTTCTACCACATAAATCAAAAAGCTCCAGGGTTTTCTCTTGGTATAAAATTTAGTTGAGGCACAGTGAACAGAAAATGCATGTACTCAGAAAGCTAGAAAAGATAAACATCCTTAAGACCATATTGATGTTTTCTTGCTCAGAGAGTTGAGCTATGAACCACATATATATCTTAGAAAATGATGTTAGATAGGAAACTACACGCAAACTCATATTTGGGTAGAAGTAAAAGGAAGAAGAATAAAGGACTTTAGCATAATTTTTTCTTATGGGATAATCCTTCAGGTTAACCTAGATCTCATTTCCTACAGCCCATGTCTAGAGAGTTCCTAAAAAAACACACCAGCCCCAGGACTTAGAATAGCTTGCAATTAATTATCATAAAAATAATAATTGCAAATAAGTAGTAATAGTGATAATATGTCACAGTTAAACCATAAGACAAATAAAATGCATAAATATTTTTCATTGTGGGGAGTTGGAGGGTATTTTTTTTCATTTTTTTTAAAACATTTACAGAGGACAGTAGAGCCATGTACAAAAGTGAATTAAAAGTGTACAAAATGTACGAAGGTACAAAAAGGTGTAGATTAGGAAAAAGAAGATGGGAAGGAGACACAGGTGGCTGTAAAAGTGGGAAATATGTGATTTCCTCTAGGTTTTCTTTCCATGACTAATTTCATGGCCATTGTATATCAAACTCACCCTGAAAGACAACCAACCAGTTATCTCCATATTGCAATAAGTTGGGAAAGATTTAAACTAACTAAGGAGTAATCAATTTAGGATTTTTTTATATATTGAGGATTCCTCTAGGAATACAGCTGAGAAAAAGAACTACCAAACTGTGGTTCTGTTACAATAAACAAAACAATGCATGCATATAATTTAGGGGAGGATGTAGAGATATGGGGAGTGCTTCAGACTGAATGTTTATTCAACCCCCCAGTTCATACACTGAAATGCTAATACCCAATGCAATGTTATTATGTGATAGGGTCTTTGGGAGGTGATTAGCTCATTATTGCACAATCTTTATGAATGTAATTAGTGCCCTTATAAAAAAGACTCCAGAGAGCTCCCTTTTCGCATTCACCATTTGAGGATAGTGAAAAGATGGCCATCTATGAACCAGAGAGAAGGTCCTCGTCAGACACTGAGTCTGCTGACACCTTAACCTTGGACTTCCCAGTCTCCAGAACTATGAGAAACAAATTTCTGTTGCTTACATGCCACCACTCTGTGGTATTTTGTTATAGAAGCCCAAACAGACTAAGGCAGGGAGATAATAAGTTTGTCTGTCAAGAACTTGTAATCCAATAAAGAAAACTGGAATATGAGACATATTGTTCTAAGTGCCTCATTAAAGATATGAAGGTTAAAACTTTTAATGAATGATCAGGAAAGAAAGGGGAAATTTTAATTTGAACTAGATAGATCTGAGAATTGCAGTTGTAGGCAAAGAATTCAATCAACAGGTAGGAAAAAAAACTTCATGGACATTGTTAACTTGTTAATGAAGCATATGTGGGTTAACAGAACATGTGGGATGCCCAATAACACAGTAGAAAAGTGCCATTAGTTTGGAAAAATAGATCTTGGGATGATCAGTGTCTTTGAGAGTTAGGAAAGCCACTGAAGGATTCTCAAACCTTCTATCTTAAATCTCATAAAGATTGGCTTAACGAAAGGGGGCAGAGTGTTTTGAAACTAGAGTGTAAAATCGGGGAGTTAGCCTGAGAAATTAATGAAATAGCTCAAGCAAGATACAGCAAAGATTTTTTTATAGGGCCAATATACTCACACACATAAAAGTGCTCTTTATGTGTAATGTAAAAAGACTAGTCACAGCATGTACTCAGTCATTAGAACTTCATTATGTCAAACTGCCAATGTCCTGATGACAATTCACATGCATTGAAATCTGTATGGTGTGGAAAAATAGTACATAGATCCGTTGGAAAACAATCAACAAAACAAAAATAAATGCAGCATCAAAAACTGAATTCAGTTTGGCTATTTAAGTTCAAACATGACTATTTTCTTTACTCTGCTTTCTATCTCTAAAAGCACCTGCCATAATGTTAGGCATACATTTATTTTTGCTGCATAATTGAAAAATTAACTTTCATCTTCCTTAGTGTAAAATGTTATATACTCATGCATTAATATGACAACTGATGGCAAACAGAAACACCCAACCAGACAGCTATTCAAAACCACCTTTGTCCACCCTCCAAAAAGGGCAATACCTTTGCTTTCCAGTGTTGATTTTCCAAAAAATAATGGCTTCTATTTCCAAAGAGAGTTTGGACCTATCTATATTCTGCATGTCCAGAACCCAAAGCTGATTTGTGATATGGAGGAAATAATATAGAAGAAGGAAGACTGATTCCACTGCCACTCCAGAATACACTGATCTGAGTTCCCCACTCATTTTTCTGGGCTCCCCTCTCATTTTGCAGGGACTCAGAAGATAAGGAATAATATACTTCAGAAGTGGGTTTAAGCCACCTGGCTTAGGAGATCCTTTCTCAGGTTCTATACATCAGGGGTCCCCAACCAGTACCAGTTGGTGACCTAATAGGAACCGGGCTGCACAGCAGAAGATGAATGGAGGGTGAGCAAGTGAGCGAAGCTTCATCATTATTTGCAGCTGCTCCCCACCATTCCTATTACCACCTGAGTTCTGTTTTGTCAGATCAGCAGCGGCATTAAATTCTCATAGGAGCGTGAACCCTACTGTGAATCGCACATGCAAGGGTTCTAGGTTGCGCTCTCCTTACGAGAATCTAGCACCTGATGATCTGTCACTGTCACCCATCACCCCTAGATGGGACCATCTAGTTAAACAAGCTCAGGGCCCACCCTGATTCTACATTATGGTGAGTTGTATAATTATTTCATTATATGTCACAATGTAATAATAATGGAAATAAAGTGCAAAATAAATGTAATGCACTTGAATCATCCAGAAACCATCCTCCCCAGCCCCAGTCCATGGAAAAATTGTCTTCCATGAAACCAATGCCTGGTGACAGAAGGGTTGGGGACCATTGCTATACATCTATTAAATACACTCTGGGTTTAAAATGTTTTATCACTGCTCAAAGTGCATTCCACATTCAAGCTATGCTCAATTAATTGGAAATTCTCAAGTGTGCTGTATACAGTTCTCTTTAATTTCTGCATCCTTGCATCATATTCCTATCACTGATTAGAATGTTCTTTCCCATGTCCATCTCCTTTTTATTGCTGGCTAACTTTTCCTTATTGTTTAAACCTCTATTCAATTGTCACTTCCTCCAGAACAACTCTTCAAATTTCCAGGATGATACGGTGTTTTGGGTCATCAGAGTCCCTTGATCTTAATTGTAGCCTTATTGTCTAACTTTCGTATTAGAATTTACATCCTTGAGGTTAGGGATAAGGTATGTGTGTGTGGTGGGTGGGGGGCCATGAGAGAGAGAGAGGAGGTAGAAGAGAGACAAACTGTAGTTCATGGGAAGATTTGTCAAAGGTTACTCTGTCATTTTTTAAATTAAATAACTGAAGACAAATTTAATGGCGTGCATGCAAACAAAGATCATCTACTTTGTTGGGATTATTATAGAAATTAAAGTAAGTATGCATAAATCCAAAAAATAAAAAGTGGTCAGAAAAAAATGAAGGTATAATTATCATTCTTCTTATTAAAAAAAAGAGCAAGAAGAAAAGAAAAAAAAAAAAACAAAGGAACTGCCACACATCCAGTTTTCAGACCTGCATGTGAGGAGCTTCAAAGTCACAAATCCATCCTAACCACAAGTAACAAGTTGGACAAACTGGAAAATCAAAAACTCTTTTTAGATCTCTCAGAAAGGTAAGGTCACAGGGCAAACCACTGACCAAAAAATTGGAGAGACAGACAGGCAGGTGCAGAAAATCACAGTTTACCTGAGCAAGAACCTCCTCAAGAATCAGTGCTGGGGTCGTAAAATTTGAGCTGTATTTGACACATTGCTGGAGGCTCAGTGTGGACAACTCGGAGAGTTAGAAACTCCCAAGGGGGTCCAGTCAGAGAGAGGCTCCTACATTACTGCAAATTTTACCTCCCAGGAGCTCTTCTAGTTCCCCACTGTGAATATTAGAGAAAAATCTCTTGTGATTCCAGCAGGGGGAAGAAAAAAACCATTGTGAAATATACCACAGCTTTCTGATCTTACTTAACAAGGCCTTTCATCAGGAGAAACAAAGTTCGTTAGGGACTAACCTAACTAAGGGAAGAAAAATACCTAACCCTGGAATTTAGATTTATGTGGAGGAAAGAAAATACTCAACTCCAGCTCACTCCAATTATCTTGTCTTACCTAAGGTGAGGAAAAACTGAGAAGCACTAGCAAAGTCCAAAGATTATAAACTGGTGAAGTTCATAATTCTACAATTTAATCATAAGACTATAGAATGCTTCTACTCCTCAATGCCTTACCACTACATAACTAAAGGCCTATTTTCCAGATTTTCTTCTATCCAGAACGTGATGTGCACCTTTCAATGAAAAATATAAGATATACTAAAGGGAAAACAAACAGTTTGAAGAAGCTAAACACACGTAGAACCGGAAGAAAATGTGGAAAGAATGTTGGCTTTATCAGACCAAGAATTCAAACAAAATAAAAAAGTAGAATTACTAAGCTGAGGGCATTAATGGAAAAAGTAGACAGGGTGCAACAACAGATGGATAATGTAAGAAGAGAGAGAAAAATTTTAAGAAAATATCAAAAAATGCTAGAGATCTAAAATGCTATAACTGAAATAAAGAATGCCTTTGATGCACCCATTAGTAGATTTGATACGGCTGAGGAAAGAATCTCTGAGCTGGAGGTTATGTCAGTAGAAACTTCACAAACTGAAAAAACAAAAAAAGACTAAAAAGAAATAGAAAATCTCAGAATTCTGGGATAACTACAAAAGGAATAACATACACATAATAGGGATTACAGAAGGGAAATACAAACAAACCAAACAGAAAAACAGAAACAGAAGGAATATTTGGAGCAATAATGACTGATTCTACAATATGGTGAGTTGTATAATTATTTCAAATTTTACCAAATTAATAACAGACACCATACCACAAATCCAAGAAGTTCAGAGACCACCATGCAGAATAAATGCAAAAAAAAAAAAAAAGACTTTACATTTAGGCATATATTATTAAAACTTCATAAATCACAGATGAAGAGAAAATCTTGAAAGAAGCTCGAGGTAGGTGCAGGAAGGAAAACCTTACCTATAGAGATGCGAATATAAAAATTAGAAAGGATTTTTCCCTAGAAAACATGCAAATAATAAGAGTATAGAGTGAAATATTTATACTGTTGAGAGGAAAATAAACAACTAGAAGTCTATTTCTTGATACGGTAATTTGTGAAGAATTATCTTCAAAAGTAAAAATAATAAAAAGACTTCACAGAAAAACAAGAACTTGAGGAAATTTGTTACCAGTAGACCTGCCTTGCAAGAAATGTTAAAGAAGTTAGTCAGAGAGAAGAAAAATAATACAGGTCAGATACTCAGATCTATATAAAGGAAAAAAGAGCATTAGCAAAAGAATAAGTGAAGTTAAAACAAAGGGTTTTTTTATTTTTAATTGATCAAGGAGATAGAAATTTGTTCACAATAATAGCAATAATTATTTGATTATACATTTTATATATACATATATATACATACATGCTTATGTTAAGCGAAATGAATTATATCAATGATACAAAGGAGGGAAGAATGAAGAACTTTATGTTGTGTTAACTATTCACACTAGTGTTATTTGGAAGTAGACATGAAAGAATGTATATTGCAAATTCTAGCGGAACCACTGAAAAATGTTGAATAATTGATATGCAAAATAGGAGAGAACTGAATAATATAACATGCTCACATAAAACCTAAAAAGTAGAAAAGGGTGGAAGACACAAAAAGAAAAAAAGAACAGGACAATAAATTAGGAAAGACCAGTAACATATGATAGATATTAATCCATCTATGTCAATAATTAATTTAAACATTGTGGTCTAAATACCCCAATTAAAAGACACAGATTGTCAGAGTGAATGAAAAAACAAGATTGAACTATACATGGTCTATAATAAACCCCTCCTTAAATATAAAAGCACATAAAGATTAACACAGTGGACAAATATAACATGCTAACATTAATCAACAGAAAGTGGGAGTAGTTACATTAATTTCAGACAGCACAGGATTCAGACCAAAGAAAGTTATCAGTTATAAAAGTGAGCATTACACAATGATAAAGTGATCAACGCTCCAAGAATCCATGCAAATCCTTAATGTGTAATCACCTAACAACAGAGCCTCAAAATATGTGAAGCAAAAACTAATAACATTGTGAGGAAAAGTAGATAAATCCACAAATATAGTTGAAGACTTTAACACCCCCTCCCTTAGAAATGTATAGATTCACCAGGCAGAAAATCAGTAAAGATATACTTGAACTCAAAAGCATTACCAGTCACCTAGATATAATTAAAACTGTTGACTACTTTATCCAATGACAGCACATTACATATTACTATTAATCTCACACAGAACATTCACCAAGATAGACCACATCCTGAGCCATAAAACACACCTTAACAAATTTAGGAGAATGGGAATCATATAATTCCTGCTCTCAGAACACAATGGAATTAAACTTGAAATCAAAAACAAAAAGATAGCTGGAGAATCCGCAAATACTCATAAACAGCAGAGTTCTAAATAACAATTTGTCTAAGAAGAAATCTCAACTGAAATTACAACATGTTTTAAACCAAATAAAAATGAAAACACAATAAAATTTCAGATACGCAGTGAAAGCACTGCTTAAAATAAAATTTATGATATTGAATACATATCTTAGAAAATAAGAAAATGAGATCTTAAATCAATCATCTAAGCTTTTGCCTTCAGAATATAGAAATGGCAGAGCAAACTAAATTCAAAGTAAGTTACATGAAAGAAAAAGAGCAGAAATCTAAAACAGCAAGTCAATAGAGAAGACTGACAAAAAACAAAAGCTGTTTTGTTTGTTTTTTTTTGTTTTTTTTGAAAAGAGCAATAAAATTGATAAGACTTGAGCCAGGCTAACTAAGAAAGAAAAAGGCTTACATTCCTAATATCAGGGGTTAGGTCAACCTACCCTCTGTCTGTTGTGAATGTAAATTAAGGCAATTGTTATTTCCTGCCCTGGATTCTTCACAACCTTCCAAGAAGAAAGAGACGATGTGAATAGACCTGAATCTATTTTAAAAATTGAATAAACAATTAATAACTTTCCAAAACAGAAAGCAACAGGCCCAGATGTATTCACTGGTGAATTGTCAAACATTTAATGAAGAAATTATAGCAATTATCTGCCATCTCTTTCAAAAGATAGAAGCAGAGAAAATACTTTCTAAATCATTCTAAAAAGCCAGAATTACCCTAGTACCAAAACTAAACAAAGATATTGCAAGAAAAGAAAACTACAGACCAATTCTCTAATAAACATAGATGCAGATACCATAACATACTATTGGCAAATCAAATTCAACAATAGCTAAAATAATTATACACTACAATGAAGTAAGATTTATCCCAGCTATAAAAGGCTTTTATATTGAAAAATTTATAAATCTAATCCAACAATCACATCAGACTAAAGAAGAAAAAAATCAAAATTGTATTAGAAAATGCAGAAAAAAGCATTTGACAAATTTCAACATCCATTCATGGTAAAAATTTTCTCAGTACACTAGAAATAGTGGGAAACATCCTCAACTTGAGGACAAAGACTGCAAAAAACCTACTGTTAACACTGTACCTAATTTTGAGAAACTAGAAGCTTTTTAAGGATGATCAGGACAAGACAAAGATATTTCCTCTCACCATTCGTAGTCATCCTAGCTAGTGCAATAAGACAGGAAAAGAAAATAAAAGATATACTAATTGGAAAAGAAAATGCACAACTTATTGTTACAGATGACATAATCTATGTAAATAATTTTAAAGAATTGACAAACTCCTGAAACTAATAAGTGATTACAGTAAGTTTCAGGATACAAGGTTAATACACAAAATCAATTGCTTTTATATATACCAACAATGAACCAGTTGAATTTGAAACTGAAGACACAGTACTGTTTATACTAGGACATCGCAAAATTAAATACTTAGGTATAAATATAACAAAAAACCTACAAGATCTATAAGGATTACTGAAAAACTCTGATGAAAGAAATCAATGAACTAAATACATGGAGAGATATTCTATGTTCATGAATAAGAAGGCTCAATACTGTCAAGATGTCAGTTCTTCCCAGCTTGATCTATAGATTCAATGCAATCCCAATTAAAAGTCCAGCAAGTTATTTTGTGGTTATTGACAAACTATTTCTAGAGTTTATATGGAGAGGCTGAAGGTCCAGAATAGGTAACATAATACTGAAGGAGAAAAACAGTTTGAGGACTATCACTATGTGACTTCAAGACTTACAATAATCATGACAATGTTTAGTGTTTGCTATGGGTTACGGAGATGGAGGGATGAATAGGCAATACATGAAAGATTTAAAGCAATGAAACTATTCTGAAAGATACTACAATTGTGGATAAACATCATTATATATTTGTCAAAATTCAGGAAATGTCCAACATCAAGAGTGAACCCTAATGTGATAGAGTTTGGGTGATAGTGATGTGTCATTGTAGGTTCATCAATTATAACAAATGTACCACTCGGGTGGGGTGTATTGGTAATGAGAGAGGTTGTGTGCATGCCTGGGGAGCTGGGGATATCATGGGAATTATGTTCTTTCTGATCAGTTTTGCAGTGAACCTAAAAATTTCCTAAAATTAAAATTATTGGGGAAAAATAAAGACTGCCATTGTTGATTCCCAATTTCATATCAGGCAATATAACAGATGATCTTTCTACATATCATTTAATCTTCATACTTCTAAATATATCTATATATTATTGTTTTCATGTAGAAGATGAGATAACTGAGGAGTCATCTATCAATTTATTTACTCATAGTTTTTTTCTTTCAATTTTTCCTATATGAATTGAACACTTACATTGTGAGTTGCAGTGGTAGCCATTGTAGATACAGCAAGAGAAAAAGAGAAAACACTGACAAACTTACAAAGCTAACAATTTTAAAAGATAAAATAGCATTAAATGAGAAAGTCTTCATTGCATTATTTTGTTACAATTATAAAAATTTCAAGGAAAAAGAAGTAGACCTCATCAGATGGCAACTGATGGGTGGGATAATGGATAAGTTGGCCCTTTCATGATCAGATAAATTTTGTCCTAAGTTCTGAAAGATAAGCAAACATTTTTCAGGTTTAGGTGAGAGAGTATGTGACATTCCATGCAAAAGAGTGATCCTTGCTGAAAACTGAAATGGAAGCCTATGTGGTTGGAGCATGAAGAGGGATCCTGGCTGGTTCAAAGCAGGCTGGTAAGGCCAGCACCGTCTGAAGCAGAAGGGCCACTACACTGAGGATTTGTGGTTCTCGTTGTTGTTGTTTTTGTTTGTTTGTTTAAGCAGTGGGATTCATTAAGAGGCTTTAAGCACAAATATGGAATTATCAGATTTTTTTCTTTTGAGGAATTGCTTAAAGAGGAATCAGATAAACTTAGTTAATACTAACAGTTAACACTAATATAGTGATGACTTGTAGGGTAGGTAGAGAAGAAACCGGGTTGAGGGAGATGACATGGTTCTCTGGCCTAAACGATTTTCCCAAAGTTATTTAAACCAAGTTCTGTCTTAATTTCTAAAGCCATTTTCCTCCAGTACAGTGCATATTCTCTCAAGATTGGATATACCACACCTAATTATCTACTTGATTTCCCCCAGCTCGAAATAAAACTCATTGTGTAAATGGGACTTTTCTCCACTCTATCATGCACTTTCATTGTTGTTTCTAGATTGAAAGCACATGAGCATAATTATTTGGAAATTTAGGGGATTTTGTAAAAATAATGAAATAACTTTTTCAAGGTTGTAGAGATGATTAAACATCATTGTGTGCAAACCTTTAATTCATTATCGAACACGTAATAGGTATCTGATATATATCAATGGTCACTTTATCATTCATTATGGTTTCGGTAATGTCAACTGCTAAATAAATCCAAGAGAAAAAAGATATTTGTGTTTCATCAGCTGGAAAGGTTTGTTCTCCATTCTCTGATTGGCTTTTGTTTGAGAAAACATTTGGGGTGAGGAGAGTAAAGAATGGCAAGCATAGCATTACAAAGGTAAAGGAATATTTCAGAAACTTTATCTTAGTAAGGACTGAGTCACAACTATATGGTAAAGAATACCAACTGAAGTTCTAATCAGTCCTCTTTAGGCATGCCAAAGAGTTTTCATGGCTGGACTTCAATTTCTCTAGCATCCAGGACAGACATCCTTCAAGGAGCAAGGAACTCAACACTGCACCAGTGTATCCCAGAGTACTCATTTTTAAAATTTTTATATTATTTTAGAGATGCAGCCTTGCTATGTTGCCCAGGTTGATCTCAAATTCCTAGACTCCAGCGATCCTCCCGCTTTGGCTTCCCAAAGTTCTGGGATGACAGGTGTGAGCCACCACACGTGGCCCCAGAATACTCTTTCACAGCTGTCCCTGGGAGATACTGTCAGTCCCCTACAGGTGACATAGTGGATTATTCTTCTTTCTTCAAAACTAGCTTAGTCTTTGAATAAGGACATGGAGGTGACCATATAACCATCCTGGGAAATGAGTCAGTGGCCATGAGGACATTTACTTCAAAAGAAAGAGTAGGAGCAGATGGTAAATACTTTGCGACCCTAAATGGATTCTGTGAAAACAAACACCGAACACCAAGACAACCAGAAGTCAAACCTCTGCGGAATCAGTCTATGATGGCTGCTGAGGGGAGACGGAAAAGGTTTTGTTTTCTGAGGATTTCTAAGAACAGACAGATTACATTATATACATGACAGACAAGAAAATGCAGACATTATTCTTCAGGATATAAGGAAACAGTATTAAAAACAGAAAAGGATGCATGAGGAGATTTAAATACATTTAAAAATGCCATGTTCAATAAAATTAACTTTTTTTTCTAACCTCAGGATTTTTCAGATATGTTAATCTCTTGATGATGATAGTGATTCTTCAAAGATGGTCTGAAAACAGTAACATCACTGCAATATATTTGATTAGAAAGTGGATTAGCCTTAAATGATTTTGTGTAAATGTTGTCCCATGGAATACAGTTTATCAAATGCTCATATGAAACATTCTTAAATAATCTCAACCTTACCTTTTTTTAATTAAAAGAAAAGTTAACTATGAAGCAATCAGAGATAGACAAATGATATCTAGATGATATATAGACAGACAGATAACAAAAGAGGCCAAGAAACCAGCCTTAGCAGATAGACTTACAATAGGTAAATGATCAGGAAGATGCATTGGCACTTGAGAAATTTAGAGATTGACATGATTCATGCTGAGACTGCAAGACCCTTCTTTTATGCTTCTCTGAGTTGAAGGTAAGGCGGGAAGTTTCGAACATGGATAGATTTTAAAGGAGATCTGCCAAGTCAGACATCTTCTAAGTAAATAAACAGAAAATAATTCACCATTGATCTGTGGCTATAAGGATAATTTCCTTCCAATATCTATGTTTTTGCTTTCTTATCTGTAAATTGAAAAGACAAAGTCCCCTTTCTTATAGGGCAATTGTGACAAGAATATGATGTTTGAAACTACTGAATGCAGATCTCTACACATAGTAGTGCTCAATTTATACCAGTTGTTGTAGCAATAATCTGTTTAGTTTGTCTATTCCTTAACTACTCTCCTGGCATAAAACCTATGAGCAAGTCACGGCCCAGAAGGTATGATATTTGATATAAAGAGTTCGGATTTGGGCTCAAAATATCAGATCAAAGTTTCTATTTTTAGCTTTTAAAGGCCAAATATCTTTGAGCAGAGTACTTACTTGGTTATCAATATCCGTGCAATGTTATTAAATCTTGTCCTGATGACTCCCAGGGTTGCTGGGTTGATGTGAGTTGTTTGAATTCTCCATGACTTGTAGAGTCATGTTTCCAGAGATTACTATAAGCATGATCAATCTCATATCGTCATGCATGCAAAAATGCTTTGATAAATGCCAAGTACCCACTGGGCATAGGGATTATTGTCAATAGAAGTAATTTGGCAAGCGGAAATTAAGCTATGCAAATGATTACAAAATTTTTTGAGATCTGTCTGTAGAAAATAAGTAATATTTAAGACATGTTGACGTATGTGTTTAGTTTTAGGCTGAGATAAACCCATCAATAATTTTATTCAAGCACTGATATTTTGAAGCAAAGGAAATTTATAGAAAGTGTAGAAATGTGAGCATTTCTCACTGTCTGGGGCTACTAGCACACTATGGGATGTGTGAGGTTCTCTTCCTTTCTATGCTTGATTTAGAAATATATACTTGGCTCAATAGTCTATGGAAATGTATCTTTATTTAGTTACTTAGTTCACTGAGACATGCCATTAAACTGCACTTGTCTGAGTCCATCAGTAAATGGGGAACACCATTTGCCTAAGAATCCCAAACTGTCCCTAGTTAAGCAATAAATAAACTCTCCCCACTCCAGTTTCTTCCTTTTTCCTTTGCCTCGCACCCCCAGGATACACCTACACTCTCAGCTGAGTGTTCTCCCCCAGGCCCAACTTCAGCATAGTACTAAATATTCCCAGCCATTCCTTCTTTACCACCTCGGAACACAAATATAGGAGTTCTTTCCATCTGAATCACTTTCTTGTTGATCACTAAGGGGAGCCCATCAGGGAGATACAAGCCAAAAGAAACATGGGGAACGTACAAATTTGAGAATTTTTTTGTAGTCCTGCTCCCGGGTGTCCAGTCCCTCACTGCTTCCTAGTAGGATAAATAAAACCCAAATACGCCTTTTGCTACACCAAAGCTCAGTAGTATGCCTGACTATTCTTTTCGGTAAAGGATTTTTGGTAGTGGTTCCCCAAAATTACTGTGAATTACAATCACAGGGGGAGCTTGTAGAAAGTACAAATTGGTTCAATTAAAAGCATAAGTGTTTCTCTGCTTTTCCTCCAGTGTCACATGAAAAAAAGTTTATTAGCATTAAGTATTGTCCCCATCCCTTCAAAAAGTGTATTAGTATTAACCTCCTACTGAGATCATCAAATAGGTTCTTAAAATTCTGAGATATACAAATAATGTGAAAAGGCTCGGCTAATTTTGTAATTTGCAAAGAACATTCATAGAATCTACTGTATATCTCTTCAGGATGCATATTTAAATGAAGAATAAAGCTTTTTAAATGTACTTCCTTTTACTACAGTCCCATTCCACTCTGACCTCATCTAAAAGAAAAGAAAAAAGAAGACTATTTGGTAAGATGAGAAAAATAGAAATAAGCAGAAATAGAAGTTTTGCTTTGTCCTTAGGAGCTCATAGGGGTAGCAGTGACAACAGATCTGGTAAGTAGAAAGAGCCCCATTGTGACCAGAAACTAAAGGGAAGATGATTCCTGGATCTCCACCCAAGATATATTAACTAATGAATGTTAGGTAACTAGACAGAGCATTAAATATCTTATACCATTCCTTGCATGTGAGTCTTTCTGCTAGTAGACCCTGTCTATATCATGCCCCAATTACTGTGAGTCAAAGTCAGAAATTACATGAAAATAAAATTGTTTTTAATAAAACAGGCAAAATTCTGGGGGATAAAAAAAAGTCAAAATGAGGCCGGGAGCGGTGGCTCACGCCTGTAGTCCCAACACTTTGGGAAGCCAAGGTGGGTGGATCACGAAGTCAGGAAATCAAGCCCATCCTGGCCAACATGGTTGAACCTCGTCTCTACTAAAATACGCACAAAAAATTAGCTGGGCATGGTGGCTCGTGCCTGTAGTCCCAGCTACTCAGGAGGCTGAGGCAAGGGAATCACTTGAACCAGGAGACAGAGGTTTCAGTGAGCCAAGATCGCACCACTGCACTCCAGCCTGGTGACAGAGCAAGATTCCATCTCAAAAACACAAAAAAGTAAATAAAAATAAGTAAAAAAGTCAAAATGCAGCATCCTTTGGCAATTGATTGATGAAGAGTAAAAAAGCAAAAGAAGAAAATTTAGCATTCTACCAAACAAAATATAGCCATAAAATTGGAGGAACTACTACTCATCCTCCTAGCAACAAAACAAATCCACTAACGTATCTAGACTTTGCAATACAGACAGAAGAGGGTAATATTTAACTAGCAATTTTATAAAACCCTAAAATGCTACATATATGAACACGAGAGGAATTAATAAGTCCACGCAGAAGTCTCGCCAAAAAAAGCAAAAAGACTATCAATGTAAGAAAATTCCTGCAGGAAAAAAAAGAAGAATTAAAAGGGTCATCAAGCAAACATTTGAGAATATTAAAAAGAAAAATTCTGAAATTAAAATACTAACAACATTAATGGATTTTTAAAAGCAGAGAAAAATGAAGAGAACTGACTGAACTTAGACACAAATAAAAGAAAAAATTATCTCAGAAATGAGGTACCTTGTATTTTTTTAATTATGAGTTTGAATAGACTCCAGTAAGAATGAAAGAAAAAGTGAAAGTATGACTAAATGAGTAAAAACGAATTAAACAAAATAGATCAAAAGGTTCACGAAAAGTATACTGGAAAATATATATCTACTGGAAAATATATTTCTACTGGAAAATATATTTCTACTGGAAAATATATTTCTACTGGAAATGGAAGACACAAAGTAGAAGAACACTTGAGTCTCAAAAGTGTTCATAGGATACATTAGAAAAAAGGCTTTGAGGCGATATTAGGAAGGGATGAAGGTAGTTCTTCAATAATAGTTTGCTTTTAATCCTACGTCCTTAGATACACAGACGTCAACTATGTTATACTGGACAACTTAATCACTAAGTGGAAATTCACTTTTATTTTTTATCTTTTTTACATTTTTTTAAAATCTATTAAAGACAACTGAGTGATAACTTCTGTTCTCATTTACTGAGGCCTCATCAATTATTGGTGGTAATCATCTGAGGCGATGTCAGTAATGAATTAACTTGAAAGCATGGAAAAACTAATTATGAATAAACTTAACCAAAGAGGTATAAAACCTCCGAATGAAAAAAGTGTAAAACATGCCTGAGAAAAATTAAGACCATTAAATAAATGGAGACATATACTATGTGAATGGATGGGAGTTTTGCTATTTTTAAGATGATATTCTCCAGAAATTGATCTTTAAAATCAAAATAATTCCAGTTAAAATTGCAGCATGTAGTTTGTGAAAATTGACAAGCTAATTCTAAATTTTATGTGAAAGTTTTTTTAAAAAAACTAAAATAGCTGATGTATTTTTGAAAAGGAAGAACAATTTCAGTGGACTATGCTACTTGGTTGTAGGACTTAGTATAAAGATACAATATACAATGCAGTGCATTATCATTGTAAAAACAGGCATGTAGACAGCCCAGAATAGACTGACACATTTATAGTCAATTGATTTTTGAGAAAAGAGCCAATACAATTCCAACAGAGAAAGGATAGCTAAATTTAATCTGCAAATATTTATATTGTCTCTCACAAAAATATGATTTGTAAATTTTTTGAAATATACCCTAAAATGATCATAGTAAAGTCATTTTTAATGGGAAATTATACTGGAAAAAATATTGAATTAAATACACATTTAAATGAAGGATTCATAGAAAAAATACTAAAAAAGTAAAAACGTCCTTGTATCTCATGGGTCTATAGAAAAATAAAACTCTGATTTTATGTTGTTGACAAATGGTATTCTCTTCACTATATGTCAAAAATAAGAGATGCAATCTACAAGGAATTTATAATATTTTAATATTTAAATGATATTACTAAGATACTAAGAATAAAAACAGATTACTTACAAGTTATGCTCAAAAACCTATTAGACAGTAGTCTTATTATTGGAAAAAAAAAACAGCAGAAAATAAGGACAGTACAACCAAAAGCATATGGTAGTGTAAAATAAACACAGACATCGGAAATAGCAAAACTGTTGCTCTTCAAGAAAATAATCATCAATAAAGTAGAAAAGTTTCTAGTAAATATGTCAAGAAAAGTATAAGTACACAAAAATAAGATGCAGAAATACAAATACAGGAAGGCATTTTAAAACTATAACCAACCACTATATAATTGTTTAAAGAATTACATCTCTAAATCATTCTTCATGTTTTGAAAAATGTAAAACATCCAGCCTATATCTGGAAGATTTAAACAGAAAGAGACCTGGAGAAAAGAAAACAAGAACACAGTTAACAAACTATCTCCACCCCCCCAACCCACATCCTCCCACCATACATACTCAGAGAAAGAATATTACCTACCTACTTGTATGCATGCTTAGCTATATCAATCATCTGGTGCAGAGATTTTACCAGGAATTATTTCAGGAAATAAGTCAGATGATCTTCTTATAACACTTCTCTACATAAAACCTTGCAATGGACTTCCATTGTAGCTAGAATAAAAACCTAACATCTTATAAATTGCAAGCCCTTGAATCCTATTTAATATCTTCTGGATTCTTCTCTATCCTTATCCCAAGTCAGTCTTCCTTTCTCATCAAACTCTAGCCACATTGGTTTCTTTATTAGGTACAGTTGTCACACGCAAATTTTTAACACAGGATCTTCATTTCTTTCTTCATTCTTAACGGTACTGGTTTATTAGTTTGAGTTCTTGTTGTATAATGGGAATGACCATATATAGTACAGAGACTGGAATATACCAAGCTATTAGAAACTCTACATATAGAGATTAGAAATGTATTTTGTTTCCTCATTCTTGTTCTTGCTCCACCCAGCTCTGTGCCCTAGAAATCAGGGCCTCGTAAAGAGTATCAGTGGACTTTCCATCCTCTGGCTTCAAGTTACATGGGCAGAAAACAGTGGGTGGCAGGAATGTCGTAGGGGAATAATTCCATTGACTCCCTTCATACAGTGTCACTGTTGGTTGACTGCATCTTTCTAATAAGGGTCACACTTCTTGTCAAGCAGTCCTGGCCATGTAGCTACCCTGTTTAACCCTTTTTGCTTACCCTTCCAGCCGAGAGATAGTAAAGTTTACCCACTATTACTAGTCCCATGGTACAACATCGCCATTTTCTGGTTTCCTTAAACCTGACGACAATTTATAAATAGTTTGTTTATTAAACTCTCCTTTACTATCCAATTTGAGTCTATACTTGTACAACGAATAAGTAAAATATAGGTATCACATTCAAGAGTAGTTTAACATTATGACACTAATTATTTAATCCATCAAAACAGTGGGTCAATAAAAATCACTTGAAGAGAGACATTGAAGACACTTTTAAAATTCAAAATCCATACTTACTGTAAAATGTTAGTAAAGTAATAGTTATCTTCCTTAATGCAATAAAAATGAACTTTAGAAAAAGAGAAGTTGAAAAACAAGCATTATTAATAATATAAAACAGATTAAAAGCATTCTTTAATGCAAATAATTAAGATGAAAATGACTAATCATCGTTATTACTGATCTACATTCTATACATAATCTTCAATTAAACCAGAAAAGAAGAAAATCACAGTTTTTTTTTTATGTTAAGAGTACAGTTTTTCCGGTTTTTGAATTACATGATTTTCCACCTGGGAAACCCAACAAAAGTAGCTGAAATAAAATAGGCGAAAATAATCAAAAGCCCAGTAATGGACTTGATAACAAAATTAACATAAAATTAACAACTTTCCTGTTTACACTCAAATAACTGATTAGGAAATGTTATGTAATCCCGTTTATGATAGCCATGATCAAAACAGTTCGGGGTATAAAATCTTAAATATCTACCAATGAACAATTGAAAAAAAATGCATTAGAATATTTGAGACTGTGGAGTAAAAGCTCCCATATTAGTTGATAAAAATTTAAAAGTTGGAGATGGAGTGACTTTGTCAACAATAAAGCACTTTAATGATTTGCTCCACAAAGTTATCTCTACAAGACCATGAGACTTGGCAATCAGAGGCTACTTTTTGCATTATGTATTCCCAGAATCTAGCATCTAATGTAATGTAGAAACTAAAAGTATGTTTGTTGAATTAGTGATATATGTGAATTAGTAATTGAATAAATGCATGCATGCATGTATACTGAAAGAGTGGATAACATGGCAAACGTTCAGTTTCCAGTTCAAGCTATCTTTCCCTGAAAACAGAAATTGTATATGAAATAATTATTGCATAAATATTTGAGATTGTGCAGCTCTACCAAAAATAAAAAAGGACTTACAGTGGTTGGGTTACTACCTCCAAATGCCAATACTTATCACTAGATTGAAATCAGGATATCCCCAGAAATGTAACATGCAAGCTTCATATTTAGTAAGACTCAGAGAAAACTCATTCAAACTCTGCAGTGCTCATTTCTGATTTCCCTTCAGAGTCCCTTTGGGAGACCAGACACAGCTGGAAGCCACTGTAGATGTCAGAGTGAGACTGTCACTTGAACTAAATGAGGCTAAAAATAAAGGGAATGGTGCTGCCACGTGAAGGATTAGCCATAAAGGACTCAGGCTTCCCTAAGAATTAGTTATCTCTAAAAAGCTGTTTGAACTGATACTGTAAGTGGGAAGAAATTCTGACAACACAACATAAGGGATTTTCATAGAGAGATTAACTGTATTGGTTCATGAAACTCATATTTCAGTGGGTATAGGAAAGGTTAGAAATTTTAGGTTTTATTGAAAAGAAAACTTTTTCAAAAATTAGACCCAAGTTTGTCAAAAGGTGAGAGATTTAGGAATGAATATTTAATTATTTATTATTAAGTCTTAGAGTAGGGTGAAGCTTAATATATACCGGGGTAAACATAATGTTTTGGAACTAAAAGACCAAGTACAAAGTCCCGCCTCCCACGCTGAGCTATGTGGCCTCTGTTAATTCATTTAACTATCCCAAGTTGTGCTTTTCTTATCTAAATGATAGAGTAATAATGCTACATTAGCTGTCTTAGGGCAGATTATTCAGACAATTGTAAAAGAATAATCAGATTAAATATTCTTTCTAAAAAAGGATGTCCTTGCATTCCATTATATCGAACATGGTGGGCTTGAAAAGAATTATAGATCCCAGCCCCTGCCTGCTGGGGTCTTAACTCTAGTTTGGAAAAGCACATTCCCATTTCTTAGACCACCCTACCTCCTTTCTCCATCCTTCTTTCCCCCTCCATTTTCCTGCTTGCTTTCTCTACTCATGCACACATTTATTGAGCACCTGCTGGAACCTGAGCAAGGTGAACAAGGCACACCTACATTCACATCCAAAGCCTCTCATTCACTCCCACCAAATAGTGTGGGAACCTAGTTCATCACAGTGTAATTCCAGCATTTTCTTAAGAAATTGATATTAATTCCTCAAGTTCCCCCATCACCCTCTTTTACATTTCTATCTCATGTTCTATATCCTTACAATTTATGTGTATACCTCATGCTTATTTCTGAATATAGTAGTACATGTGTGCTAAAAAATGAATACGGAAATTTCCTAATAATTTAGTATCAAGGGTAGTATTGTGTCTTCACATACAAGCATCTCAGTTTTGTTTGAATAGTTGGAGAGGCAGTAGAGTTTGATGCTTTATAAGCTAGACTTGCATAAAATAATCTGTCTCTGAATCCCAATGATATCATTAGCAGCTGTGTGACCTGGGGCACTTTATTTAGCTCCTCTCTCTCAGATCACTTAACAGAAAATAACTGGGCACAGTAACAGTACCTAAACCAAGGAACTGTTATTAAAGTTAATGGATTAACATCGCTAAAGAGCAAAGAATAGTGTTTGGCAAATAATAAAAACAGTAATTAATTATTATATAACAATATACTTATTAGTTATATATTAAATCTGAAATATATGTGTTTACTATATATATGCATATATACTTTTTCCTGTATAAATAGAAAAAGAGAGAGAAAGCAAACAACTATATAATGTAATGAACATTATTTTCCAATAGAAGAAACCTTCATTTTTGTATTACAAAATTATTTCTTGAGTGTATACTGGGTGCAAGCTATGTATTTAGTGCTAGGGATACAGGTATAAACAAATAAGATGTGATAAGCATGCAACCGTGACAATGAAGGATTAAATTCTGAGAGCCAAACAAAGAAATCAAGCATGCATAATTAAGGCTGTCAACTAATTCCTAAATTTTATTTGCACTTTAACTGTTGTTTTTGTACAATGAAGAAGCGCTAAGATTAAGTATGAAGATCTACTATGAATCAGCAAAATGCAGGAAACACCATTATATGAAGAAGCATTCTCAGCCATCTTTCCCATTTTAGAAGACATCACTTTACTACTTAATGAGTAGTTTTAAAGGATAAATGAGATTATATACTCATGTTTTTAGCTCCCTAAAAAAATCATTATCAATGCTAAGTCCACATAAATTACTTTAGAAGAAATAGAATAGAAATGGGGCTAGTGGTTACCAAAGTTAATCTGGGTGTAGAATTTGGCATCTATAAAAATGTATATAATGAATCCTAAAACTCTACCCTTCTCCCCAAATTGCCATAACAGACATCAGACTTTTTCAATAAGGTCCATTAGCTAGATCTGTAAAACACTCTTAGGAGAAATACTGATTTTCAGTACATTCCTCAAATTGGGTAATTTGAGGGGTA
This sequence comes from Homo sapiens, assembly GCF_000001405.40. NCBI lineage: Eukaryota > Metazoa > Chordata > Mammalia > Primates > Hominidae > Homo > Homo sapiens. Next base: position 64,015,773 of record NC_000016.10, on the reverse strand, counting down.
ATTTAAGAGTTTTGAAATCATTAAGACTACTTAATCCAATTATATAGCTTCTGCTTCACAATTACTACTTTAAATTTTCTTTTGCCTATCATAAAATGTAGCTTTTATCTATATTATTTATAAGTGTAAATAAAAGCAAACCAACAATATTTTTTCTTTTTTGGGGCCTTTATGTAAGTAAAAACATGCTTATTTATTGACCACTCCATTTTCAATTTGTAGAAAATAAAAAGGAATACTTCTCATAAGATACATATTCATAAAATAGAGATCTAGTACTACAACTTGACTAAATTTTTGAATCATTCTCTGCTAAGTGTCTGTAGAAAATCAGGTACTGTTTTCTTTATAAGATTGTTTTCTTTGATCATGGCCCTATATTTTATCCCTAGATCAAGCTGTTTTATTAGATTTTCTCGTCTGCTTTCATTTGTCTAATACCCTGCTGTTTGCTTCACTCTCATTAAATGTTGCTGGTTCCTAAAATGCTATCAGTTTCCTTCACTTTGGTTTATCATGGTCTTAAGCTGTTTTTTTTTTCTTTCTTTCTTTTCTTGTTTTTTTTTCTTTTTCTCTTTTTATATACTGAATTTCTGTTTGCTGAAGAACAAAATTAGAGAGCATTTCCAAAAATGCTCCCTGCTACTTATTGAGACATCTAAGTTAATGTCCAGTTAATTTGATGAAAAAATAGTCAAATAATTTTTCAAATGCGACGTGTAATGCAAGCTACACTCCCACAACCTTTTGATTCTTTTTGTGGTGAGAGTTTAGGGAATATGGAGGGAAATTTAGGTTACTGCAAAAAAAAAATTTTGGGCAACAGATGTATAGAGATTCAAATTCCTGAAATGCACTGATACTTCTTATTACGATGGGAACAGTCATAAGTGCCCATTGCTTCCAGCCTAATCACAGGGGCAAGTCTGTTATGCTACAAAACCATGGTTAAAGGAAATCACAGCTTGGAGACCTAAACATACGTGATGAACACTTCTTGGAAAAGAAGAGATCCATAGCTGCTTTCATGTCTGGTAGAGTGGTAACAGGTGGAGAAATGTGCTACAGAAAGTGATTGGGAGAAGAACACCAAGCTTTGATCAAACCTTAATGGCAGCATGTGAGCTGACATGCATCCCTAGGAAACTCAGCTGAGGAGCAAGCCTGTAAACATCCACTGATTCTTTCCCATGTTTCTTCACTGAATCCAAGAGGGTAGTATGCAAAGTATGGTGGAGGGAAAGAAACTGAGAAAGATTCCCACCTGAGGCATAAGGAACCTTCACAAAGGGGGAAGGTGATAGGCACCTGGATGTTGGGAGAAAAGAAGGAGAGCCCAGAGAAATCCTTCTGAAAGATACCAATGCTTTGTCCCTTAAAAAGTCCCTTAAAGTCTGGATAATAGATCAGAAAGAGATCCATGGATATAGAAAGTGAAAGCGAAGAATGGAGAAAAGGAAGAATTCACCAACATTACAAAAATATGACATCTGGTCTGTAAAGTGGAAAGAGATTTCCTGTTTCGGAAACCCAGTAGTTGTGAGGTAACACTTAAAGACATACCCAGAGTTGTGCCAGTGCTCAGATCCCATGCCCAGCTAAGGAAAAGCACTGTCTTCAAAATATTTTAGCCAGTAGTAAACTGAATGTAACTAAAGCTGCCAAAAACTCTACATGCATCTCTAATATAGATTAGATTGAGTCAGCCTACATAATAGTAGCCTGAAAGAAAATAGAACTGTGTTGGCTCCTACCCCTCACTGGGGTTAAATCATAAATACTTCAGTCTTTACTGTTTTCTTAACACATTCTCTCTGACATATAATAAAAAAGAATGTCTGACAGAAAACAGTCAGCAGAATTTGACTCAAAGTCAAGAGAGTTTACACAGTAAATAAAAGTAGACATAGAAATAGCCAGATAAGAGAATTATCACAGTGGGATTTCAAAATAAAAATGAAAAATACATTAAATGATCCAGGAGATGGTAGACCACATGTATGAACAGATAAGAAAATTTCAGATAGGGGCACAAAATAGAATGTTATAAATTAAAATATAAGATGTTAACCAAAAAGTGTATAAGGCAAGTCTCAAATGAGCAATTTATTTAGCGAAGGTTGAGGATGCTCCTGGAAAAAAGAGCATCACAAGAACATCCGTGATCTTTCCAAATGGAGTCTTGGAAACTTCATTTATTTATTTATTTATTTTTTGAGACAGGGTCGTATTCTGTCACCCAGGCTGATTGCAGTGGTGCAATCATGGCTTACTGCACACCCAACATCCTGGGCTCAAGCCATTCTCCCACATCAGTCTCCCAACTAGCCGGGACTACAGGCATGAGCCACCACACCTGGCTAATTTGTTTTTTAATTTTTTGTAGAGACAGAGTCTCACTAGGTTGCCCAGGCTAGTTTCAAACTCCTGGACTCAAGTGATCCTCCTGCCTCAGCCTCCCAAAGTGCTGCAATTGCAGGCATGAACCACCATGCCCAGTTGTGGGTTTTCAGTTTTTTTGTTTGTTTGTTTGTTTGTTTTTGAGGCAAGATCTCACTATTTTGCTCAGGCTGGTCTCGAGAGATCTTCAGTATTTAAAAGGGAAAGAACAAGCAGGAGAGCAAGAGGATAAGAAAAAGAGGGAGAGTAGGCATCGAGGCAGATGGTTACATTTGTATGAGACTCATTAGCCTAAGTAAATTGACATTTTACTTGTGAAAAGAGAAAGTAGGAAAAAAGTCAGTTATCCATCGTCTCACTCTCTGTAATTCTACATTTTACATAAGATAAAGCATGCTAAAAGAGGGAGTAGAGGAAAAAGCAAATCATGAATTTGTCTCAGGGTAGGTGGAAGAATGGTTTCTAGTCTTATCCTTGTCTTACACCTATGAAAATAAACTGGTAATTGACATTGTCAGTGTGAGATTCAACAGAACGTGATTTTAGGGCTGGTTCCTGGGGGGGACGTGTATCCTGAAAGTTGCAGAGGCTCACAGGGTACTTTCTGGTGAGAAGTTTGTGAGGGAGAGCATTTGGGGAGACATGTGGCTTTCCATCATTGTGGAAACCTGGCTTATGGATAAAGCTATGACACAGAGTTGTAAAATTACAGCTGTTTGGGAACAAAAGGAAAGCAGTATTGTGAGACTCTGTTCTCAAGCTTAAACTTTCTTTCTGTCATAATAGCTTAGGGTCCCAAGATTCTATTTTCTTTCACAGAGGTATCAGAAATGAAAAACTCATTTGAGAGATTTAGCATCATATCGGACACAACAGAGAAAAGAGGCATTGTATTCGTTTTCTATTGCCATGTAACACTTATTACAAATTTAGCTGCTTAAAATAACACACATCTATTATCTCACAGTTTCCATGAGTCAGTAATCTGAGAAATGGCTTAGATGAATCCTCTGCTTAAGGGCTCACAATGCTGCTGTCAGAAGCTTGACTAAGAAAAAGATCTGCTTCCAAGCTTCCTCAGGTTACTGGCATAATTCATTTTCTTGCAGTTATAGGACTCATGGCAGCTTGCTTCTTCAAAGCCCACAATCAACAATGAATGGAGGGAGGGGAAGAAAGAGAGAGAAGGACACAGATGGAGGAAGAGAGACAGGAACTCTAGCACAGTGGATAACAGAATATTATGTGATCACATTTCTGTTGGTCAGAAGCCAGTCACACGTTGTATTAGTCAGTTTTGCGTTGCCATAAAGGAATACCTGAGGCTGGGTAATTTATAAAGAAAAGAGGTTTATTTGTCTCATTGTTCTGCAGGCCATACAAGCATGATTCCAGCATCTGCTCCTGGTGAGGCCTCAGAAAGCTTACAATCATGGCAGAAGGTGAATGGGGAGCAGCGTATCACATGAGTGAGGGAACCAGAGAGAGGAGGAGGTGCCAGGCTCCTTTCAACAGCCAGCTCTCCTCTGATCTCATTATCTTGGGGAGGGCACCAAGCCATTCATGCGGGATCTGCCCCCATAACCCAAACACCTCCCACTAGGCCCCACCTTCAACACTGGGGATCACATTTCAGCATGAGATTCAGAGGAGACAAACATCCAAACCATGTCACAGTTCCTAACCATACTCAAAGGCTCAAGGAAAGAGGTTTACACAAAGGTGTGGATACCAGAAAGAGGAGCTCCTGAGGACCACCTTCGAGTCTGTCAAAGCAATCAGTGAACTTCAAGAGGTCAACTTAAAAAAATCCAAATTGAAACAACAATATAAAACTCTTCAAGATCTGCAGCACAATGTTAAACTATATAGCAAATGTGAAAGTAAAGCTCCCAAATTAGTGGAAACAAAGAAGAGAGCAGAAGAAATATCCAAAAACATAATAAAGTTTCTAAAACTTGAATGATTTTTAAGTATCAATGTACAAAAAAAACCTCATCAAATATCATTCAGGATAAACACAAAGATAAAGAAATCTTGTCATACCATCTGTAAAATGCTGAAAGCCAAAGATAAAGAGAGAATGTTTTAAGTCAGCCAGAGGGTAAAAAATGAGTTATTTTAATCAGGGAAACAATGATAAGAATGGCAGCTGACTTCTCATCAAAGACAAAATGTAGGACAGAAGATAATGGAAGGACATTTTTAAAGTAATGAAAGTAAATAAAAACGACCTCACAACCTGCAATTCCACAGGCAATAAAAATACACTTCAGAGCTGAAGGTGAAAATAACATATTCAGAATCACCAGAAGAGAATTTGTATTAATTACAAAAAATAATTAGAGAGCTTTTTTATTCTTAAGGGATATAATATCAGAAGTAAGTCCCAGTCTGCAGAAAGAAATGAAGAGCATCAGAAAAGAGAAATAAGTAGTTTAAAAAACAAGAATTTTTTTGTATTTTTAAACTTCATTAAATGACTTTTATCTGTTTAACAGAAAAAGCGATACCTATATCTTATGAGATTTATAACATACGTAGAAATAAAATGCATGCCAAAAAGCGCAAAATTGAGAGGAAAGAGAAATTAGCTATAATTTGTAATATCCCAACATTATTTATGAAGTAGCAAAATATTATCTGATGATAGTGTGATATGTCAAAGATGCGTATTGTAATCTCTAGTACAGCCACTAAAACAGAATAGTTTTAGCCAAAATGTCACAGCAGATCTAAAATACAAAGGGTATATATGCATATCTTTAACTGATTCACCCAAATGAAGGAAAGAGGGACAGAAAAATGAAGCAAAAATAAGGCATATAAAAACAAATCACAAAGTGGAAGAATTATGCATAAACATATCAATAATTACATTAAAAGTTAACGGACTCGCCGCAAAAATTAGAAGGCAGAAATTACAGTCAGTATAAAAAGTAAAGCTCTACTATATGCTGTGTACAAGATCTACAGTTTAAATATGAAGACACAAAGAGATCAAATGGAAAATAATATGACATTCAATAAGCTAATCATAAGAAACCTGGAATGGCTGTGTTAATATCAGATAATATAAACTGCAACACAAAGATTAGTACAAGAGAAAAAGGAAATTTTATGATAAAAGAAAGAGGTGGCTGGATGTGGTGGCTCATGCCTGTAATCCTAGCACTTTGGGAAGCCAAGGTGGGTGGATCACCTGAGGTCAGGAGTCCGAGATCAGTCTGGCCAACATGGCAAAACCATGTCTTTACTAAAAATACAAAAAAATTAGCCGAATGTGGTAGTGGGTGCCTATAATACCAGCTACTCAGGAGGCTGAGGGAGAAGAATCGTTTGAACCCAGGAGGCGGAGGTTGCAGTGAGCTAGGATGGCACCACTGCACTCCAGCCTGGGCGACAGAGCGAGACTCTGTCTCAAAAAAACAACAAAAAAAAGAAAGGTATAAAAAGGCATAGCAATCTTAACTGTGCATCTTAGTTACGGCTCTTATAACAAGAGTACCATAGGGCAGGTGGCCTAAACCAGGGGTCCTCAACCTTTGGGCCATAGACCAGTCCCAGTCTGTGGCCTGTTAAAAACCAGGCTCCACAGCAGGAGGTGAATGGTAGGTGAGCCAGCAAAGCTTCATCTGTATTTACAGCCACTCCGGATGGCTCACATTACCACCTGAGCTCTGTCTTCTATCAGATCAGCAGCGGCATTAGATTCTCATAGGAACATGAACCCTATTTTGAACTGCACATGCAAGGATCTAGGTTGTGTGCTCCTTATGAGAATCTAATGCCTGATGATCTGTCTCCCATCACCCCAAGATGGGACTGTCTAGTTGCAGGAAAATAAGCTCAGGGCTCCCACTGATTCTACATTATGATGAGTCGTATGATTATTTCATTATATATTACAATGTAGTAATAACAGAAATGAAGTGCACAATAAATGTAATGCACTGGAGTCATCCAAAAACCATCCCCCAACTCTGGTCTGTGGAAAAAATTGTCTTCCATGAAAGCAAAAATGTTGGGGACCACTGGCCTAAACAACAGAAATTGATTTCTCACAGTTCTGGAGGGCAGGAAGCTCAAGATCAAAGTGCCGGCCCATTCAGTTCCTGGCGAGGGCCTGGTTTGAAATGGATGCCTTCTTGCTCTTTCCTTGCATGGCAGAGAGAAAGGTCATCTCCCTGGTTCTCTTCTTATAAAAAGCACAAATCTCATGAGGAAGATATCCTCATGACCTAATTACCTCCTGAAGGCCCCACCTCCAAAAACCATCACATTAGGGATTAGAGTTTCAACATATGAACCTTGGAGAGGCACAACATTCAGGACCTGGCACAGTGTAAATAACGAATACCATTGATTAAAAATAGGGAACTAAAATTGAAAGAAAGAAATATACAAATCAACCATGACAGTTGGAGATTATAATAATCTTTGTCTTTTAGTAATTGGTGGAGAGGTAAGAGAAACACCAATAAAGATACAGAAAATTTGAACAACAGTATTTTAAACTTACGTGATGTTTATAGATATCATACCCAACAGCTGCTGAATACACAGTTTTATCATGTGGAAATAACAAAAGCTGAAATACACTTCGTGCTGATTCTTCAAACAAGTTCCAAATATTTCAAATAATTAAAACCACAGAATATATTCTCTGACCATCACAGTATTAAAGTACAGATATAAAAGTAGTAAAGTACAGATATAAAAGTACAAAAATTTAGAAAGTCCTCAAATACTTGAATATTAAGCAATACACTTAAGTAATCTATGTATTAATAAAGAAATAAAAGTAGAAATTTGAAAATATTTCAACCTGAATAATACTGGAAACTCACCATATTATAATTTGAGAAAAAATGGTAAAAGAAGTACTTTGAGAAATTTTTTAAGAATGTAAATGTTTGTATTTGAAGAGAAGGGTGTAAAACCAATAAAGCTTTTACCTGGAGAAGATTTTTAAAAAGCCAATTAAAATCAAAGTAGAAAAAGGAAACATTAAAACTGTTCTATCTATGCTAAACATGAATTTATACTGCCTCCAACTGTAAGCCAGTGAGTAACACAAGCATTCATTCTAACCTTCTCCCCTGACTTATTCGTAACTTCTCTTCTTCCTCAGTGAGAAACCAGGTTCCACCCCCACCATTCATTTACTTATATTTTCAACCCTAGTGCACATGTAACATAGCTCAGAATTGTTGACCGATATTTCCATGAGAAACAAATCTGCCAACTAGAGTACAATGTTTATATAGTTTATTTTTTCTTAAGTCCTACACAAAATCTTGTATGCAATCCAACATTCAAAGAAAAGCCTATCTGCTTGGGAACAGAAGGAAAGTAACTTAGGAATTTATGAGTCCCCTAAGTTCCCCAACTCTGGAAGCAACTAAAATGTCCTTCAAAGGGTGAATCGCTAACCAAACTGTTGTATCCTTACAATGGAATACTACTGAGTAATAAAGAAGAATAAACTGCATGGATAAACCCAAACATGGATAAACCCAAAATACATTAAGTGAAAAAAACCAAACCCAAAAGTAAATATATTGTATGAGTTTACTATCATGACATTCTGGAAAAGGCAAACATAAAACAGATTTAGTTGCCAGATGTTTCCAGTGGAGGAGTTGTTGGCAACAAAGGGAATGGACAGGGAACTTTTTTGGGTAATGGGACTGCTCTGTGTGGTGCTGGGGTGGTGGGTACATGACTCTGCACTTGGCAAAATTCATAGAATCACAAAGAGTGAACTTTAATTTATGCAAAGTTAACAAACAACCAGGATGTCTGGGGTTCTAAAGCTGAATAAAGACTTAGACCACCCCACCCAAAAACATACAACTATATTACAAATTATATTAGTCGGCTTGGGCTGCCATAAAAAATACCACATTCTGCCTGGCTTAAATAACAGAAATTTACTTATCATAAGTAAATTTGGAAGCTAAGAAATCAAAAAATAAGGTGTCAGCCAGTTGGGTTTCTGATGAGGACTCTCTTCCTGGCTTACAGATAGCCACCTTCTTCTCTCTGTGTCCTTATATTGCCTTTCCTTAGCAGTGTGGAGAGAGAGAGAAGTGGGGGTAGGGGGAGGGGGAGGAGAGAGAGAGACAGAGAGAAAGAGAGAGAGAATGTCTCTTTTTCCTCTTATAAGGCCACCAATACTATGACCACATCCTTAGACTTCATTAAACTTTGATTACCTCCTAAGAGCCCCACCTTCAAATATATTCAAATTGGAGTTAAGGCTACAACATAAGAATTTTGGGGGTACACAATTTAGCCCATAGTATGAGCACACCTCATTGAAGGAATTGGGGAATAAAGAGCTGACCTAAGTAACCTTGGAAAATGATGTTTTTGCTCTTTGACTGGAAATAATAAGTTTAAAATTAAAAATAATTTGGTAATTGATACACAGATTTAAAATGTTCCTTCATTTTCTCCCTTCTCTCCAAGAATTGTTATTAATTTGATGGTGCATCTTAAAATTTATGGCATTTAGTGTCTTACAGAGATTAATTTTATAGCATCTTTAAAGCTTCTAGTACATCCTCTAACACAGAATTACCACTTAATTAATAGTAGCTGTTTACACTTCTTAAACCTTTAACGTAGTTAAAATCACAGTGTGTATACAATTCTGTACTCTGCTATTTGCTATATTTGAATGTCTCTTTGTTTTGATGGTGATAATAGTAATAATAAATTTTATGTTATAGCTTTCCATAGAGTTGATGCACAATTATTCCCCTATTCTCAGACATTCAAATTACATACAGTTTTGTGATTTGTTGCAATTTCCTTGTGGACACATAAAACTGTTTTTGAGTACCTAAGCTTAAATGGAACTGAAGCATCAAAAACATGCAATAAATAAATTTATTTTGAAATTTATCTTAAAAGTTAATTTTGAAAATAATGACAGATGTGGATAATTATACTTGCTACTTCGCTAGGAAATAATTCTCATGGTCTTTTAAATGGAATTCTTAATATTTATCCTATTTTTCCATAGTTTAATCAATCTCTATCTCACCTCATTAACCATTTATCATAAAATTGTTATTCTTTATTTTCTTTACTTCTAAAAACAGCTTCGTTGAGATACAATTCATATATGAATTATGATTCATTTAAAGTGTGCAATTCACTTAGTGTAATGGCTTATGCCTGTAATCCCAGCACTTTGAAAGGCCAAGGCTAGGGGGGATCACTTGAGGCCAGGAGTTGGAGAACAGCCTGGGTAACATAGCAAGACCCCATCTATTAAAAAAAAAAATTACCGACTGTGGTAGCACGTGCCTGTAGTCCTAGCTACTCAGGAGGCTGAGACAAGAGGATTGCTTGATCCCAGGAGTTTTAGAGGAGTTCTAGGTTACAGTGAGCTATAATCACATCAATGCACTCCCAGCCTGGGTGACAAAGAAAGAACCTGTCTGGGAAAAAAAATAAAGTGAACAATTCAATAGCTTTTAGAATATTTGCTGATATATTGCAACCATTACCACAGTAAGAGTTATTTAAATATTATGAATGCATGTCTTATCAGATATATAATTTGGAAATATTTTCTCCCATTTCGTGGGTTGTCTTTTCATTTTCTTGATGGTGTCCTTTGATTCACAACAGTGTTTAATTTTAATAAAGGTTAATTTTTTTTTGTTCCTCCTGATTTAGATATCATATCAGTAAATCCTTTGCCAAATTCAAGGTCATGAAGATTTTCCTGTTTTCTTCTAAGAGATGTATATGTTTAGCTCTACTATTTAGATATATCTATTTCGAGTTATTTTTTCTACATGGTGTGAGATAAAGGTGCAACTTCATTATTTTACATGTGGCTACACAATTGTCTTAACACCACTTGCTAAAAAGATATTTTTGCCCATTGGATGCTCTTAGCACCTTATCAAAAATTGATTAAGCACAGATGTGTGGGTTTATTTCTGGAATCTCAATTCTATTCCATTGATATATATGTCTACTCTTGAACTAGGACTGTCTTGATTACCATTGGTTTGTAGCAAGTTTTGAAATAGGGAAATAGGACTTCTGTTTTATTAATCTTTCTCCAGGATTGTTTTGGCTATTCTGGAGTCCTTACAATTACATAGGCATGTTAGCATCATCTGGTAAATTTCTGCAAATAATTCTACAAATCTTTATCATTTTGGGGGAATATTGCCAGTTTAGCTATGAATATGAATATTGAAGACTTAAGTCTTCAAATTCTTGAATAAGAGATGTTTTCCCAATTATTCAGAACTTCTTTGATTAAACAATATTTTGCAGTTTTGTTTGTTTTGAATTATTTTGATAATTTACCAAATATTTCATTCTTTTTGATGCAATTATAAGTTGAATTTTCTTCATTTTTTGAATTTTCAAGTGTATAGAAATATAATTAATTTTTACGCATTGATTTTGTTACCTGAACATTTGCTAAATGTGTTTATTAATTCTAATAGTGCTTTGTAAATCCTTTGGAGTTTCTATATACAAGATCATGTCATCTTTGAATAGAGATCGTTTATTTTTATTTCTTTCAGTTTAGATGATTTTTTTTTAACCTGATTTTCTTGGCTATAACCTCCAGTACAATGTTAAATATAAATGGCAAGGGTGGATTTTTCTGTCTTACTTTTGATCTTAGGAGGAGAGTATCTGGTCTTTCACCATTAAGTATGATGTTAGCTGTGGAGTTGTTATAGATGTCCTTTAGCAGATTGATGAAGTTCCTTTCTTTCTGTTCCTCATTTGTTGAGTAATGTTTATCATGAAAGAATGCCTATGTGATTTTTGCTTTATTCCATTCATATAATGTATTAAGTTAACTGATTTTCAAATGTTGAACCAACATTGTGTCCCTGGGATAAAGCCCACTTACTCATGGCGTATAATGTGATTTATATGTTGCTGGATATAATTTGCTAACATTTTGTTGAAGATTTTGTGTTTATATGCACAAGATTTATTGGTTTGCAATCTTCTTTCATTGTGATGATGTGAGAGGAGAGAGAAATCAACTAGGCAGATAGTTAGGGCAAGGGTCCTTGGTAGAATTTTGTTCTAACAAAAAGCAGTCTCTTTTCTGACAAGAAGCAGCCCAAGAGGTCATTTTTCCCTCAGCATAGAGCAGCCTGAAAGATAAGGCTGCAAACACAGATAAGGAAGGCAAGCTCTAACACAGAAAGGGGTCTCCTGTGTGAACAGACAGACAGACAGTGGGCCCCAGTAAGCACAGTTCTCTCTTTTCTTGGAAATCCTCAGACAAGGAGGCTTGTGCAGGGAGAGGGCCTGCAGCAGCACCCATAAGAAGAGTTACCCTGAACCAGGCACATCCACTCGAAGTGTTCTGCCCCGCCCGTTCCTTTTGTTCATTTTTTTACACCAGAGCAGCAGGAAGAGATAAACAACATGGAGTAACTCGGTCTAAGAAGTCCACCTGCGCACTAGAAAAGGTAGAGGCGGAAACTCAGAAATTCGCGCCTTAGGCAAATAAAGCACCCCTCCCCTCCAGCTTTTCTATAAAAACTCTTGGGCTGGGTGCGGTGGCTTACACCTGTAATCCCAGCACTTTGGGAGGCTGAGGTGGGCGGATCACGAGGTCAGGAGATCAAGACCATCCTGGCTAACATGGTGAAACCCCATCTCTACTAAAAATACAAAAAATTAGCTGGGCATGGTGGTGGGTGCCTGTAGTCCCAGCTACTTGGGAGGCTGAGGCAGGAGAATGGCGTGAACCCGGGAGGCGGAGCTTGCAGTGAGCAGAGATCACACCACTGCACTCCGTTCCGGCCTGGATGACAGAGCGAGACTCCGTCTCAAAAAAAAAAAAAAAAAAAAAAAACCACTCTTGCACTTCCCTTGTAAAACGGCCACCCATCTTTCTGGAACCCCTCTCTGCTCCAAAGAGCTTTCTTCCTTTCGCTTATTAAACTTCTGTTCTAACCTCACCTTTAAGGTGTCCGCGTCCTTAATTTCCATGGCCATAAAACCAAGAACTTCGGGTGACACCTCAGACAAGGAGGCCAGTTTTGATGACTTTGTCTGCTTTTGGTATCAGGCTAATAATGGCTTCATAAATGAATTGGGAAGTGTTCCCTCCTCCTCTATCTTTTGGAAGAGTTTGTGAGGAATTGGATTTGATTCTTCTTTAAATGTTTGGAAGAATTCAGTAGTGAAGCCATCTAACCCTGGCATTCATTTCTTTGTTAATCGGTTGTTCATTTGTTTTTTGTTTTTGTTTTTGTTTTTTAATTTTATTTTGTAATAGATACTGTGGGTATTTTTTTTTATTAGTGCTTCAATTTCTTTACTTCCTATATGTTTATTCGTATTTCTCCTTAATTTAGTTTCTGTTTCTCCTTACATTACTTTCAATAGTTTGTGTCTTTCTAGATATTTTGTCCATTTCATTTAAGTTATCAAACATGTTTCCATACGGCTGTGTATAGTATTCTTTCATTATCTATTTTTATTTTTTTAGTATCTAGTAATAAGGTCTCTCATTTCCAATTCTAGTAAAGTGAGTCTTTTTTCAATCAGTCTTGTTAAAGATTTTTCACTTTTATTGATCTTTAAAAACAGCTGGTTTTATTGATTGTCTGTATTGTTTTCTGCTCTCTATTTTATTGATTTCTCCACTAATATTGATTACTTCTTTTATTTTCTTGCCGGGAATTTAGTTTGCTGTCAATAAGTTATTGATTTATTTCTTATTAATACAGATATTTATAGCTATAAAATTCCCTCTAAACACTGCATTTACTGCATTCCACAAGTTTTGCTATTTTTTGTCTTTATTTTGACTTATCTCAAAGCATCTTCTGTTTTTTGTTTGTTTGTTTGTTTGTTTGTTTGTTTGTTTGTTTTTTGAGGCGGAGTCTCGCTCTGTCACCCAGGCTGGAGTGCAGTGGCGCCATCTCGGCTCACTGCAAGCTCCGCTTCCCGGGTTCACGCCATTCTCCTGCCTCAGACTCCCGAGTAGCTGGGACTACAGGCGCCCGCCATCACGACCGGCTAATTTTTTGTATTTTTAGTAGAGACGGGGTTTCACCGTGTTAGCCAGGATGGTCTCGATCCCCTGACCTCGTGATCTACCGGCCGTGGCCTCTCAAAGTGCTGGGATTACAGGCGTGAGCCACTGCGCCTGGCCGTATCTTCCGATTGTTTAAAATTTATTTTTTTTCTCAGTGGGTATTTATTAATGCTTTAATTTATTTGCACGTTACCCAGTTTTTTTTTAGGCTTTTGATTTTTAATTCATCCCATTGTGGTCAGAGACATACTTTGCATGATTTCAATTATTTTAAATGTGGAATTCTTGTATGGCTTATTATATCGTCTGTCCTAAAGATGTTTCAATGTACACTTGAGAAAAATAAATACTCTGTTATTTGGGGATAGTGTTTTATACGTGTCTGTGAGATCTAGTTCTCTAATAGTGTTGTATAAGTCTTTTGTTTACTTACTGATTTTCTTTCTAGTTGTGCTATCAATTATTTAAAGTGAGAATTGAATTCTCCAACTATCATTGTTGAATTGTCTATTTCTTCATTCATTTATGTTTGTTTTCAATTTATTTCAGTGCTCTGTTTTTAAGCTCATATGTTTATAATTGTTTTGTCTTTATCATAGAGTGACCCCTTTATCATAATAAAATTTCCCTATCTATCTATACTGAATTTTTGGTTTTTTAAAGCCTAAGTCAGGTATCAGTATAGCTACTCTTGCTTTCTTGTAGTCCTGTTTTCTTTTTTTTTTTTTTAATTTTTGGGACAGAGTTTCACTCTGTCACCCAGGCTGGAGTACAGTGGCGTGATCTCGCTCACTGCAACCTCCGCCTCCTGGGTTTAAGTGATTCTCTTGCCTCAGCCTTCCAAGTAGCAGGGATTACAGGCACTTGCCATCACCACCTGTATAATTTTTGTATTTTTAGTAGAGACGGAGTTTCACCATGTTGACCAGGCTGGTCTTGAACTCCTGACTTCAGGTGATCTGCCCGCCTTGGCCTCCCAAAGTTCTGGGATTACAAGCGTGAGCCACCGTGCCCAGCCTACTTCTGGTCCTGTTTTCTTTACATAAATATTTTTTTCCGTTCTCTTACTCTTCATCTCTTTATACTATTGAATCTAAAGTGTATGTGCTATGGGCAATGTAAAGTTGAATACTGCTTTTTTAAAATCAGCCTGACAATTTCTGTCTTTCAATTGAGTCATGTAATTTATTCACATTTAATGTTATTATTGATACAGTTGGAGTTGTACCTGTAATTTGACTTCTGGTTTTCTATATGCTTCATGTTGTTTTTCTTTTCTATTCTTCTTTTATTTTTTGCACTAATTAAATATTTTCTAATGTAGCATGCAAAATTCTTTACTAATTTTTACCATATTTTTGAGTTTTTAAGTGGTTATTATAAGGTATATCATGTGTTCCTTAACTTATTCAAATCAGCTTCTAATTTATATTAGCTCAATTCCAGTGATTTTTAGAAATGTTACTCATTAATAGCTCTATTTCCTTTCCCCCATGTTGTCATACTACTGTCTTATCTATTATATCTGTTTATTGTTTCTTGCCCAAAAATACATTGTTAAAAGTATCGCTTTACCATATATAGTCATTTTCAGGAAAATACAGCTCTGTTCTCTCTCATCTCATTTGACTCTATTGGCAAATACATTGTACCCATATTGCATTTCCCTGTAATATAAGCCCAAAAATTCATTACACACACACACACACACACACACACACACACACACACAAATGGCTTTTAAGGCATTTAAGAAAAGAAAGAAGAAAAATAGGCTTTTTTGATAGTTTTTTTTGTTTAATAATTATGTAATTGCCTTTATTGGGTGTGTGTGTGTGTGTGTGTGTGTGTGTGTGTGTATTAGAATTACTATCTGAGATTACTTGCTTTTAGCCTAAAGAATTTGCTTTAGTACTTGTTATGAGGTGAGTATCCCAGCAACATATTCTTTTTCTTTTTGTTTATCTTGAAAATACTTCATGTTGCCCTTATTTTGGAAAGATAGCTTTGTTAGAAATACAATTCCTGTTTAGCAGGACTTTTTTTTTCTTCTGTTTTTCCTTGGCCACTTTGAGAATATTATTCACTGCCTAGTGTGGTGTCCTGTGTTTCTGCTGAGAAGTAGCTGTAAATTTTATTGGTGTTCTACTGTAAATAACTAGTCATGTTTTTCTTACTGCTTTCAAAATTTTCTGCTTGTTATTAACTTCCAGAACTTTAACTATGCTATGTCTGCTCATAAATCTTTTAAAACTTATCTTTCTTGGGGTTTGTTGGGCTTCCTAGATGTGTAGGTTATTGTTGTTTGTTTTGTTTGTTGGCAACAGAGTCTTCCTCTGTCACCCAGGCTGGAGTGCAGTGGGGCGATCTGGGATTGCTGCAACCTCTGCCTCCCAGGTTCAAGCGATTCTCCCACCTCAGCCTCCCGAGTAGCTGGGATTACAGGTACACACCACCATGCCCAGCTAATTTTTGTATTTTTAGTAGAGACGGGGTTTCACCATGTTGGCCAGGCTGGTCTCAAACTCCTGACCTCAAGTGATCTGCCCACCTCAGCCATCCAAAGCGCTGGGATTAAAGGCATGAGCCATTGTGCCAGGCCAGATTATTGTTTTTATGTGGGAAATTTTAGCTACTGTGGTTATTTTGAATCGTTTTTCTGCTTTATTCTCTCTTTCCTCTCTTCCTTGTGCTTCCATGATATGTAAGTTGATGTAATTAATGATGTCTCATATATCTGTGAGGCTGTCTCTATTTTTGCTTTTCATTCATTTTTCTCTTTGTTCTTCAACTCACATCATCTCTGTTGATTGATCTTCTGGTTTGCTTATTCTTTCTTCTGCCAGTTCAAATCTACTGTTGTGTCCTCCGAGAGAACTTTCCATTTCAGTTATTTAATTTTCAACTCTCCTTCAATTTGAACCCTATTTCAATTTTCAAATTGAATTCTATTTCAATTTTCATAATTTTTAAAAATATTTTTATCTTTTAATTGATGTTTTCTAGTTTATACAACAGTGTCATCATACCTTCCCTTCTTTAGCTTTAGTTTTCTGAACAGTCATGAATATATATCTATATAATGGCTCATGTGGAGTCCTTTTCTGTTAATTCTGATATAGTTTCTCTCACAGGCAATTTTTGTTGCCTGTGTGAACACTGAAAATTTGATCCAGGTCTCAGTTTATTTAGAAAGTTTATTTTGCCAAGGTTAAGGACATGTGCCCGGGCCACAGCCTCAGGATGTCCTGATGCAGCCTCAGGAGGTCCTGGCTACATGAGCGCAAGGTGGTCAGAGCCAGTTTGGTTTTATACATTTTAAGGAGATATGAGACATCAATCAACATATGTAACATGAACATTGGTTCTGTCTGGAAAGGCAGGACAACTCAAAGCAGGGAGGGGCCTTCCAGGTCATAGGTAGATAAGAGACAGAAGGTTGCACTCTTTTGAGTTTCTGATTAGCCTCTCCAAAGGAGCCAATCAGATATGCATTTATCTCAGTGGGCAGAGGGGTGGCTTTGAATTGAATGGGAGGCAGGTTTGCTCTAAGCAGTTCCCAGCTTGACTTTTTCCTTTAGTGATTTTGGGGGCCCAAGATATTTTCCATTTACACCTGTTTTGTTTTGTTTTGTTTTGTTTTGTGCTGGTGTATGGGTAGTACTTTTATATTTAGTTAGATGCGTCACATTTTTGCTGTTGTTGTTAGAAACTGGATGTTTTAAATAATACATTGTAACAGTTCTGGATATTGTCTCTCTCCGATGGTTTGTTATTGTTTCTGTTTATTTACTTGTTTAGTGACTGAATGGTTTGTTTTGTTAAAATCTATTCCCCCCACCCCCACTCACCCACAGTATTCAGCTTTTTACACTCCTCCGAAAGGCCCAGCTTTGTGTATGCCCACATCACCCTAGGAAGACAGTGGGTTTGGAAGGGCTCTCTTCTCTTTCGCTGACTCCACTGAGCTGTTTTACTCTATTAATTGTGGGCTAATTGCTCTATTGTTGTCAACAATGCCCTGTGGCATACATTGCTCTACAAACAAATCCAGTCCAAATCTGGCACTTTTGAAGAAATTTCTTTTTTATTTTTTATTTTGAGACACAATTTCACTCCATCAACCAGGCTGGAGTACAGTGGTTTAAACTTAGCTCGTGGTACCCTCAAATTCTGTGGATAAAGTGATCCTCCCACCTCAGCCTCCCTGAGTAGCTGGGACTACAGGCTTGCACCACCATGCCCAGATATTGTTATTTTATTTTTTGTAGAGATGAGGGTCTAGTTTTGTTGTCCAGGCTTGTCTCAAACTCCCAGTCTCAAGTGATCTTCCTACATTGGTCTCCCCAAATTCTGGGACTACAGGCATGTGTACAACACGGAGTTAATTTTTGAATTTTCTGCAGAAAAAGGATCTCACTATGTTGCCCAGGCTGGTCCTGAACCCCCAGCCTCAAAAGATCCTCCTGCCTTGGCCTCCCAAAGTGCTAGGATTACAGGAATGAGCCTTGGTACCTAGCCCTGAAGGAATAATTTCTAAGAGCAGTGTTTGATTTTTGTTCTAACCCAATGAAGTCTCATCTGAGCTGTCTTGTTACCTGATTTTTCTCTGCAAGCTATCAGACCTACAGTTTGGCTTGTATCTTGAATCTGGTCCCAATTGCCTTTCACCACAACCTCCACTGTTTTTTAGAGCACCTTTAGGCTTGAAATTCTTCACTCTCTGTTGCAAATTAAATCAGGTCCTTTGGGAACAGATTAGAAGCTAACCTTTCTATAGACTCATTCTTCAGGAAAGATCTCTGGAGTTCAGAGTGGGAAGAATAACAAGCTTCTCTTTAAGTCAAGTTCTTAACCTATAGCTGAGTACTCCACAGGGAGAAAGTGGAAGCCTGAGCCTTCCTCAGATTGTCTCTTGTGGCATGGGATCACTACTTCATGAGCTGGGTAAAGAGTAAGTAAAGCCCAGTGTTCTCAACACATTCCATCTAATATAGAAACTTTTTTTTCTCAAGTTGTGTCTGGGAAGAAGAAGGCAGTCCCCACCGCTCAACTATGTTCCCCTGGGACTTAGCTTCTGCAACATGTAACGGGGATAGAGTAAGAAACACGGACGTCCTGCTTAACCCAGGAAAAAATATCTTGTTCTGATTACTATGGGGAACAAGAACTCAGTGTAGTCTTAATTCAAATATTAGAGACTCCTGCATTTTTTTGCCTATTTTCATATAAGTTCCTGAACAGATATTTCTTCATTTGCCGTTCACCCTTAGGGCCACTTTCAAAAATAGTTCTCACCTGTTGCACTGGGGTGTGTAGCTTTTCAGGCTGCCATTCCAGAACCTTGCCCAAATTACTGTTCTTGAACAGTATGTTAAAGGGATCCCACCTACCTCCCTGTGATAATAATGTGTATCCCTTTTCTATTCCCTAACAGAGACCAACTGTAGGATCTGGGTCCTGTCAAATTCCAACTTTATTATTTAATAGCTACTTCTTTTTAATTGAATGATACTTCTGCCCTTCATTTTCATCATCTGTAAAATGGAGAACCACTGCAAAAGAGAACACTAAAGAAGAATCCTATTGATGAGACTGAAAGTACATTCATAAATAATATTGAAATCAAGGCAAATAAAATAAAGCAGGCTCCGAGATCTGTGCCTGTGGACCTTACTAATCCGTTAAAAGCCGTTTTGATTTTACTTTGGCTAAGCACTAAAGTGTCTTGAGTTTTGAAATAGATTTGTTGCTTTTCAACTTATAATACTGGGAATTGACAAAAAAAAAAACAACATTTACATAGGTCCAATTAATATAACAAAGACCTAAATTCTTTTTATTTTGATACGATTTATTGGAGATATATAGAAATCAAACTGGGGGATACTAATTATCTTATACTGGAGCTTTAAACTCTACATAATTTATCTCAATGTCGTAAAATCTAATTCTTGGCCTAGTGTAGTGGCTCACGCCTGTAATCCCAGCACTTTGGGAGGTTGAGGCAGGATTGCTTGAGTTCAGGAGCTTGAGACTAGCCTGGACAACATAAAGAGACCCTGTCTCTACTAAAAATAAAATATTAGCCAGGAGTGGTGGTACATAACTGTAGTCCCAGCTACTCAAGAGGCTGAGGCAGAAGGATCATTTGAGCCCGGGATGTTGAGGGTACAGTGATCTGTGATTGTACAGCTACACTCCAGCCTGAGCATGGAGCAAGCTGATCTCTAAAGAAATTAAAAATTTAAAAATATCTTGTTTTTCTTATTAGTAATGTCAAAGTATTTGGAATTCTCTTCCACTTTTTTTTAATATGAAATAAAGACATTTCTGTCACAAGAGATTTCATATATTTCAAGAACACATAGCTGCTAATTTAATGAGAACACATTAAAATGAGAGGTTGCAAAATGTAAATTATTATGGTCAAATGAAAATTTTGTGATCACACAGAACACTGGATGGGCACGTACTCTTCTTTGTTTGCTAGAGCTTTAGTAGTTGTTTCTACTCATGTTAAAAATGTTTGTATATATGTCTAGTTGCAATTTCTTTTCCATGCAGTACTCCAGATACCACACAAAATAAGATTACTAGTGGGTACTCATTGTTGAACCACAGAGTGCATTGTAAACCAGATACACATTTTCTCCCATGCCATTCCTTCTGCAGGTTTTTCTAGATTCCTTGGTGGATACTTGTATCTTGTGTTTATTTTCCTCTCCTGCCTCAGACGTGATGCCTGGTGCTGACTTTTTAATTTTTTTTTTCTTACCAGAAAGTACTGAGCTCAACTGAAACAGTGATTTTAAATAAGCAGTGTTCATGGTTTTGTTGGTTAGTGTGTCTTTCATTTTCTGGCCCATTATTGAACTCCTTTCCTAGTTTTACTATAAACTTTAAGTTCGATGGGAGAAGGATCAAAGAAGACAAAAACACAACGCATTCCAGTTAATTCAAACAATATTTCGTGAGCACATCATGAACTTAGTCAATGTGATGATCATCAAAAACACATCTTCAAATAATGCGTAACTAGTCCTTTGCCCTGCCCTCAAGGCGCTAAAGATCTGACAAGATGCTGTCTTGCTGGCCGCAGGAATCTGGAGTTCAGAACGGAGGTCTAGACACAGCGGGAGGTGACATGAAAAAGGTAAAAGTAGATATTATAAAGAGAGAATAGGAAGATAAAAAGCCAGAGAAACCTGGGAGCCAAAGGCACATGGAGCTAACATGGTTGAACTGAATGTGCATAGGAAGGGAAAATGCTAAACTAATTGTTACATTAACATATTCAGAGCGTCAGGGAAATAGGCATCTTACAATCTCCCATTAATAGTCGTGAATTTACATGTAATACTCTAGTTGGGGACTGAAGGCTTTCTTCAGAGTAACTCAAGCAGGCTTCCATATAAACATACACGTTGTCAACTCCCCCTCTCCCCCAATTAATTTGTCATCTCTTAAGAAAGGAAAGCACACAGTTCAAACTTTGGATATCTTTCCTCGCTTGTTCCCTGGGGCTAAGTAACTCTATATATATAGTTTTCCCAATAAATCTACTATATATATATATATTTATATACATACATATATATATTTATATACATACATGTATATATATACACACATACATATATATATACACACACACATATATGTACACATTGTTTTTCCAGTAAGTCTCTGGAGCATCTCTTATGGGCCATGCCCTGTGCAAAGTACTAAGTATACTACAATGAACAAGATCTTCCAGCCAGGCACTGTGGCTCATGCCTATAATCCCAGCACTTTGGGAGGCCAAGGAGGGTGGATCACCTGAGGTCAGGAGTTTGAGACCAGCCTGGCCAATATGGTGAAACCCCATCTGTACTAAAAATACAAAAATTAGCTGGGCATGGTGGCGGGCACCTGTAATCTCAGCTACTTGGAAGGCCGAAGCAGGAGAATCGCTTGAACCCGGCAGGCAGAGGTTGCAGTGAGCTGAGATCTCATCATTACACTCCAGCCTGGGCAACAAGAGCAAAACTCCATCTCAATTAAAAAAAAAAAAAAAAGTTTCTTGCCATCATAAAGCTCGCAGATCTGTCTGAAGAAGTACGTATGATTGAACTGTGCTTTATTTCTGCTCTCCAATATGGTAACCACATGCCACATGTAACTATGAGCATTTAACATGTCATGTAACTATGAGCATTTAACATGTCATGTAACTATGAGCATTTAACATGTAACCAGTGCAACAAAAATTATGTTTTTTAAAAAGAAAAATTGACTAATTTAAATTTAAATAGCCACGTGACTAATGACCACCATAGTGAAAAGCAGAGCTATAAATTTCGTTTAAGATACCTGTGGCTATACCATAATCTAGAGTGTGGGCCCTTCAGTTGGATTGCTTGGAGCCCTGATGTTTAGCTAACCTCTATTAAAGTCCAATATAGGAGACAAAGGAAATCCATGGCACAGGACTCAGCAATCCATTGCTGCTTCAAGAGGAACAGGCCTTCTTTTTATTTACATTTATATTAGTTACATTTCATTGAATAAAATAACTTTTAAAATATTTACCAGCTGATGAGCTTGAAGCAATCAACCGTGATCTAAATTGGATCTCAGTGTCCTGATCTTTAGTGTTATCTAATGAAGAGAGTGTTGTGATTCTTAAGTCAACCTAGGCCTAAGAATCCACTTAAAACCTATTTATTGGAAATGTAGTGGTTTGAGTAGTTACAAAGCATACTATACGTAGAACTTACATATGTGATATTTCTCACCCGATAGATTTTCAAGCATTGAAACCCATCATTTAGTATGATTTATATAAATTCAATATGTGTTGCTTTTTATATAATTATACAATTTTCCATCCTTGTTGTGTGTATAAATGCATCATTGTATAAAAATCCTGTCATCACATGAGTTTCTGGCAACAGAATCACTGATCCAAAAAATAAGACAAGCTGATTTATGTCTTCCTAAAGTGTCCATGGGCATGATACAATAACAATAATTTAGAAATAACTTTATGGTCGTAAAATACCATTAAGATTAATCTTCAACTGTTCTTCAAAACAATTGTTTAAAAAACTAAAACATCTTCTGGAAAAAAAAAATACAGGGACTTGGATGGTATTCAGGGGATTCCTGGTAGCTGCTGTGATTTTAATCAATTAATTGAGAAAAGTAGGTAATGCTTTACTATAGAAATGGCTCACACAAGTATTATTTCAATGATGTCTTAGCCTTGCACAGAGCAAATATATATTGCTGGGAATTATTTTTAAAGTAAGATAACTATCAGGAAACCAGTCTAGAAATCTGTCTTTTTCACTTTTATTTAAAATGATGTTGTAAATTAGGCTTACTCTGATAATGGAAGCATATAGTCAATTCTGTTAACATGTACAGCAAAACAGTATATCTTCATGACGGTGTTTAACCCATTATACATAATAATGCAGAGTCCAAAAATTGAGTTCAGAAATTGCTACAAACCAACTTGGTTGTTTCAGACCAAAAACTTAAATTATCTCTATTTATTCATGCCATTACCTTTCAAGTAGGCAGTTGTATTTCCTTGAGGATGGAGAGCTTAAGAATAGAAGTGATGCCCATTGAATATTGATGTGATAAAAAAAATACAGTCCTTCCTCTTATGTGATCTTCCTACCTTTCCTAATCATACTCAACTGTGCTGTTCATGCCTCACAAGTCAGTTGAAGCACTTACTTACAGTGGTTTCATATCAGCATTGATAATACTGAGTTTCTAGAGCTCAACTTCATGTTTTATCCGTAAGTCTCTGGATTGAAAGAGAATAGAAAAAGGGGAGAGAGGAGAGGGGCGAAAGAGGAGAGAAGAGAGAGAGAAAAGAGGAAGAGGAGAAGAGTGGAGAGAGAAGGGAAGGAGGGGGAAGAAGAGGAGGAGGAGAAAAACGAAGAGGAATAAAAGATGAAGATGGAGAAGGAAAAAAGGAAGGAAGGAGAGAGAGAAAAGGAAAGAAGGAAAGAAAGGGAGAGAGGGAGGGAAGGAAGGAAGGAAGGAAAAAGAGGGAGTGAAAGGAGGAGGTGGTGGAGGGAAGGAAGGCAACAAGGAAGAAATTCTGTAGAGTCAAGAAACCAGAATTGGAAATAAGCAAAAGTACACAGCTATGGCATACCATAAGAGCACTGTGGCTTTCAGTGAATTTCCTCTCTGTGAATGTTGCATACTGAGATGAAGGCACTGTGGTAGTGGCTAGGAAAGTTTACACTAGACACAATTTCTTCTTGAAAGATATGTACCATATCTTAGTTCTTAACACATTAAAAGAGAACAGAAAAAGGAGAGGGAAGAGAGAGATGTACACAAGGCTGTGATCACAGTGAGGGCAGGATGTCTGTCTAAATTTTTGACCACTGTATTCCCAGTTTTTAGCACAGACATTGCTTAATACTTAACAAATGTGTGTTAAATGGTGACTGTTGACTAAATATTTCTTCTGAAACAGGTGCAGAGATCAGTACAGTAGAACAAGAAATATTGAATTTTTTTGTTCTGTTTTGTTTTTTGTTTGTTGGTTTGTTTGTTTTGAGACGGAGCCTCGCTGTTGTCCACCCAGGCTGGAGTGCAATGGCGTAATCTCGGTTCACTTGCAAACTTCGCCTCCCAGATTCCAGCAATTCTTCTGCCTCAGCCTCCCGAGTAGCTGGGATTACAGGCACTCACCATCACACCCGGCTAATTTTTGTATTTTTAGTAGAGACGGGGTTTCACCATTTTGGCCAGGCTGGACTCAAACTCCTAACCTCAGGTGATCCACCCGCCTCAGCCTCCCAAAGTTCTGGGATTACAGGCGTGAGCCACCGTGCCCGGCCAATGAGAATTTTTTGAATGGACTATATCCAACTACATGAGGTTAATTAGCTATGTAAAATAACATGATGGCATTTCTATTTGAATCTAGTTTTTATGACTGCAAAGTAGTGAAACAGAAATGCAATTCAAATCAACGAGCATTAAAACACTCTCTCCTTAACCCTACTTCTCTCCATCTTCTTGAATATTTGTTATCTTGATACCCCACCTTTAAGCTCCCATTTTTTTCCAGGCCTTGGTTTAGACAAAAAGCCCATCATCCAAAGGCCATTACAATTCAATCATATTGTCTTAAAACTGGTCTCTGCATATTACCTGGAATATTAATAAATAAATTATTACAATATTGACAATATATTAAGGAGAATAAAAGTTTCTTTAATGAAGTATTACTATATCCAACATTATTATCAAATCATTGTCATTAAATATTAACTGATTATATATACACATAAGCCATTATTATTAATGTAATTCAGAAAAAAACTACAATAAATTTCATATTGTTACTATTATTAAATACTAGAAAAACTGTGATATCGCTATTATTAAATATACAGAAATAGGTAATTTGGAACACTTTCTCAGCCCATTCTCCCAAATACTGTCTACTAAAAACTGGTAGTGCTTATTATACTCATCTACATAACCAATACCCTTAATGTTCATAAACACTATATTAACTATAAAATGAGACTATTCATGGTCACTTGAACTAATTTTTAAAAGTTTGTTCTAGGGAAGTCACTGTCCCTGGATTGCACTGGTAAATTTGTCTCTGATTTTGTTCATTTTGTCCATTGCTCTAAAGTATTTGAGCTCTGCATTGCATATGACTCTTCCCAGTCTTCACTGTGAGTGTTTACGTGACTTCGCTTTTCGTAGAACAAGGCCACCAACTCTATCCATTAAATTCCAACTTTCAAGTGCCAAACATATTTGCAGAAATATTTAGTTGCCTATAAAATATTACAGCTTTTAATATTAAACTGGTGGACATGCTTGAATATGCTTGAATATAAGCATTGAATGGGTAGACAATGATGAAATTTAAAAATAATTCTATTTAAGAGAGTTACCTTTTTCTGCAAGCTTTATGATTGTTGCCTGTTTATAAAAGATCATCTGTCAACAATATAGGCTGAAAGAAAAATACTCTCGTAAGAGTTGTATCTCAAATTCATTAGATACATTTTCATGATTAAAATTATTTCCTATTTAATGGTCAAACTTTTACTTATTAAATTATCCTAGATTTTGAGTCTGTGTTACCAGCTCTGTGTTAAATCATACATTGAAAACTATTCTTAGACGATGCATAAAGCGACTGCAAATGATTTTCTGAGAACTGGCTAACATCCTTGTCTGAGTACAGTCTCCTCTTGCAACACATCAATTAGATAGAAAATACAGATTTAAACTGCTCAAACTGAAAATCATAATTAGTATTTTTAAAATCCTAACCATTCAGAAAGTCTTTAGATTGAATCATGCTTATAAGTTAACAATTATAAATACACACACATATACATTGACGTATATAATACATACAATATAATAATTGTAATAATACAATATAGCTGTAATAATTATGATAATACAATATCATATACATATATCTTCATAAATTCAGAAAAATCTACATATTCTTATAATTCGGAACCTATTAAGTTCTGTGTGCCAAATTGTAAGGACAGCTGATATCATTTAGTGGAACAAACACTGCTGGGGGCCAGATGATCTGATTTTGTCTGTTTTATTGTTCACTATATTTTAGTTCTTGGAGAAGTTCTTTTAGGTGTTTGCACTGCACTTTAGTTTTCTTCTTATGTGAAATGGGGGTAATAAGCCCTACCTCAAGGGTTTTTTCATAAGGATTAAATAAAATGGCATCTGTTAACTTTTTGCAGAGTAAATGGCACATTGTAAGAACTCAACAAATGTAAGCTTACTCCACTCATGAGTTACTGGGCAATCAATACTACATACAACACATGGCTTCTGGCTCAAAGAAATATACTGACTACTGATACAAAAGTCAAGGGAGGGGCCAGGCACGGTGGCTCACGCCTGTAATCCCAGCACTTTGGGAGGCCGAGGCGGGTGGATCACGAGGTCAGGAGATCGAGACCATCCTGGCTAACACAGTGAAACCCCGTCTCTACTAAAAATACAAAAAAATTAGCCGAGCGTGGTGGCGGGCACCTGTAGTCCCAGCTACTTGGGAGGCTGAGGCAGGAGAATGGCGTGAACCCAGGAGGCGGAGCATTCAGTGAGCCGAGATCGCGCCACTGCACTCCAGCCTGGGCGACAGAGTGAGACTCTGCCTCAAAAGAAAAAAAAAAAAAAAGTTAAGAGAGAATCATAGAAGAAACTGAAAAGCCACTCAGAAGGGAAAAAAAAAAACCTGCCATTGTCAACATAGCAGTAAAGGCTTCCTTCTGTATTAGGAATTAATGGGAGGAAGAAACGGTTTTCTAGAATAGCCTAGGGTAGCTCACTGGTAGAAGAATTTAGTAAATGGGTCAGATTTGGGTAGGTAAAAATAAGCAACAACTGAAGTCACACATAGGAAAATTAGGCCTCTGTTTTTGTTTATAGTCATAATGTCCCAATAACTTTTACCTATTGAGAAGTAAAAGTTAAAAAATTTTTGCAAAATAAGTTAGAAGAAGCTGTTTCTTTTGAAAACTTAATACTGAAGAAGTCCTTGGCAAATATTACATTCATAGCCATGTTCAATAAGGAAGAAAGAGACCAAGTAGGAAAAAGTCAGTGGAGATTGTATGCTGATAACATAATTCTGTGGATAACTCCTGATTAGACGTGGTATCCTCCCTTAGCCACACGTTATCTAATGACAATGAAAATGAGCTTTCTCCATCTTTAAGCCTCAGTCTCATCATCTGTGGAATGATGTTGTTGCAATTCAGAACCCTTGAATCCCTTGCAGTTCCAGTACACTTTCAGAATAAGCCCAACTCCTATTGCCAAAAACTCTTGGCTATCCAGTGAGCTGTGAAAAGGAAACCTATTAGAAACTAAAACACAGGAGAGAGGGTGAGATAATTAGGTGAGCAAGCACAACAGGGAAGAGTTAATAAGAAACACTGTGCATCAGAAAGCTGGAATTTAAAACCATGAAATCAGTTCCAAATGAGAGAGAGACAGAGAGAGAGAGAGAGAGAGAGAGAGAGATGGCCTTTAAGACAGGAAGTAAAAAGATGTATCTAAGTTCACCATTAAAACAAATACTCACTACCTCTTTTCAGGATCCTTTTTTCTAGGACACTTTCTCTTAGTTAATAGATAAGTGTGACTAGAAGTGGCCTCTAGAGAATGAATTAGAGGTTGCTATCACTGTGAGGGAAAGGAGGACTCCCCCATTTCTCCCCCATTTCTCACCCTCTTAAGAACAACCTTGAGAATATTTTCAAAACCACACAAAATACTAATAACATTCTAGGGAAGTTTACTTAATAACCACAGGTGACTATCCCCCATATAATAAGAATTGATGTTTTATGGGCTATTCAAATGCTATCACTTAACTCTCCTCCTTCAACTGTCCTGTAAAACTTACAAATTGCATTGATCTTGGCCACACGGTAGATACAACTAAATGAAAAGAAAATTGTAAAAGAACAATCGTCACTTAATGACGATTATTCTTAATAAGGTTTCAGTGACAGCATGGTGGTTCTGAATTTGTCATTATACAAACTTATAGCTCAGGTCATTATATTCTCTTTTTAATATTCTTATATTAGATGTTAATATTCATAGGTATTGATATTTCATATCAAGACAAAGACAACCCTTCTTTATATGGTTTTCATCATGGTAGAAACGGTTTCACTTTTCTTTCATTTTGTTATCCCCCTCAATTTGGGAGGATTTGGGAGGAAAAAGTTTTGTGTTCTGATTCCATTAATTGGAATATGCCTATTTGACATTTTGTTTTGGGTTTCGGTTAATGTGAAAATCTTGAGCTTACTGTGCTTCATCTTCGTGTTAGCTACTATAAAGCTTCTTGCTGGATTTGTTCTCCACTTGGTTTGTTTCGGGGTAGGGTGAGCCTCAAAACAGCAGCTTGAAGAACAAGGCATTATTTATGTTTTTCTCATGTATTTGGGCAGTTAAACAGGCCAGGTCAGTAGCTTAATTGCAATCCTCACAATCGTTCAAGGACCCAGGCTCTTTTTAGTTATTGATAAGCCACACATAGTTCCAATAGGATTATCAACATGTTTGAAGCAGAGTCATCACCATGTGTGGTTTCCAGCAGGTGAGAAAAGGAAGGAAATCATGGGGAAAATGGTGCAGTGGTTCATGCCTGTAATCACAGCAATTTGGAAGACCAAGGCAGGAAGATTCCTTGGGCCCAGTAGTTCAAGACAAACCTGGGCAACACAGCGAGACCCCATCTCTACAAAAAATAAAAACCTTAGCCAGGCAGGGTGGTGCACAACTGCAGTCTCAGCAACTTAAGAGGATGAGATGGAAGAATGGCTTGAGTCCAGGAGTTTGAGGCTGTAGTGAGCTGTGATTGTGCCACTGCACACTGCACTCCAGCCTGGGTGACAGAGTAAGACCCTGTCTCAACAAAAAAAAGAAAAAAGAAAAAGGAAGGAAAGAGAGAAATAAAGAAGGAAAGAGATAAAGAAGGAAAGAGAAAAATCACATCATGGAAAATTAATGCTTATTGTCATAAAGTAGAAGTTTAAAACTGGCACACATTACTTCACACCAAATCCCACTGTGAAAGATCACCACCATGATCGTATGAAGATCCCTGGGCTGGACTATTGAATGATGAGAGACCATATGGACACAGGCAACAGAGAAAGTTGCTCTGACAATTGCAAACACCAACAGCCAGACCTATGACTAAGGTCAACTTGGATCTTGTGGCCACAGGAGAACCTCCAGAAAATTTCAGCCACATCACTGATCTCAGATGATACCAGCAGAAGTCAAACTATATTTCAGAAAGGAGACTGGGGAATAATGCTGATGGATCTAGCTAAAATTCTCTGTGAAAGATGTGGATTTTTATAGACGATTAATAGTCTCTACCTCACATTCCTTAAACGGTAAGTTGGTAGTAAAAGTAGTTCTGGCTTTAGGCGGCAAGGGAAGGGATTGGGGAATATTTTCTGATTTACTAAGCTGATGAGCTCTCTCTTGTAAATCCTAGTTTCCAGAGAATGTTCCATTCCATTTGATCTACTAGACAAGACTTAGCATTGAATCTATGCGTTAAAAAACAAAGTAGGAAAAATTTGGCATAAATTGGCTAATATGACCGCAGAGGAGATTTGTATGAAAATAGAAAGGATATACACAGAATTCAGGCTTTAGGAAACTAGTTGTCTCCTGGGTGGGATGATCATGGCCAAAAATTATCGGCCATAGGACTATGGGTCAGGGTTTGAGCATATCTTGTAGGACAACGCAAAACACACAAGTAAAAGTGGGGGTGATATGTTCTTGGACAGAAACTCAAAATATGCATCACTTGTGAGTAAAGAGTGGAGATAACAAATGGTAAGGGAGGAGGGATTTAGGGTCAATAATGAGTGTTGAAATTGTCCTGTTGGGAACTTTGTGGGTATTATTGGTCCATGTTGGTACCAGAACACAACATTCTTGGCTAAAGTGTGGGTGTGTATATGTGTGTATTATATGAGTGGCTTGTGAATCTGTTGAAGTGTATGTATCCTTTCTTATGGGGACAGAGGGAAAGGAAAGGGCAAATGGATCTTCCATTTTTATTAACTACCTACTCTGGCCTTAGCACCATGCTCAATTATTTTTTATAGAAATCTCATTTAATTCATACAAATGAAAAAGTAATATACATTTCTTTATTTCCCATATGAAGTTATGTGGCTGAGGTCACTTGGAAGTCAATAAATTATGGCCCTCTGATGCCAAAGCTTATGCTTCTTCAATTCTAGGACACTGGCTCATGCTTGTATTGTTCAGTCCAATAATTTAGCCTGAAGAAGAGATGTCTAGAGATGCTAATATACAAATAGCATGGACATTAGAATTAAGGACAACAAAAGAGAGTGCTGAGAACAAAAGCAGAAGAGCCATATTTGAAAACAAAAATGAAAAATATTACTAAGGATTTAAGAAAGCTGGCTGGATGCAGTGGCTCATGTCTGTAATTCCAACACTTTGGAAAGCTAAGGTAGGAGGATGACTTGAAACCAGGAGTTCAAGATGAGTCTGGACAGCAAAGCAAGACCCCATCTCTACAAAAAAATTAGATTTTAATTTGAGCCCAGAGTTCGAGGGCACCACTGCACTCCAGCATGGATGACACAGGACACAGAGAGACCTTGTCTCTACAAAAAAATAAAAATAAAAACTAGCTGAGCATGGTGGCTTGTGGCTGTAGTCTCAGCTGCTTAGGAAGCTGATGGGGGAGGATCGTTTGAGCCCAGGATGTCTAGCTGCAGTGAGTTATTATTGTGCCACTGCACTTCAGCCTGGGTGACAAAGTGAGACTGTCTCTTAAAAAAAATAATAATAATTAAGAAAGCATCCTATTTGAGATGGCATTTTAACCAATCTCTTAAGATTGATATCTGCATTTGACGAATCTAACACCTTGTTCCATGTTCTTTGCCCAAGGCCGTACTTGACTCAATACCATGGCAAAGATTCAAGTACTAACCCCCGAACTAGCTGGCTCAAAAACTCTTTGTCAATAAGTAATATGATCTAAATCAGATGAAAATATGCTTTATACTTAAAGCACAGGAGCCTCTTGAAAGAGTTAATTTACTGTAGTGCCAAGAAGGAAGCAGGACTACCAAGCCAACCTTTATGGGAGACGTATGTGAGATAAGTCTGACCTGACTTTGGGGCAAGTTTAATTGATCTGAGAATTTGTCTTTTAATTGATAAAATGGGGATGATAGCACCTATATAAATGCCTGTGAGGATTGTCAAACATATATATGCTGGCTTTAAAAACTGCAAATATATAGAAGGCATTAAATATAGTGTAATTCATATCCATTTCATTAATGTTGCTATTTCAAGTACAAAATCAGCTCAACTTAGCCTATGCTAGAATATCTCTAATAGTCAGGAATGATGGGTAATGGGAACTCTTGATTCAAATTAGCTGACTTCAAATACTGACCCTTCCCTACCTCTCTGATGTAGGGCAAGAAGACACTTTGTCTCCCATGCTTCGTTTTACTATGCATAAAATGGGGATAATAAATATTTACCATATCATGTTGCTATGATAAGTTAAGGGTAAAGCTCATATCATCACATTTATCACATAGTAAAATCTATAACATTGGTATAAAATATATGCAATTTTTTTTCCAGCATTAGTTTAATTAAAGATTCAAGGTCACCATCCATCCAGGCTGCACATTTAATCACCTGGAATGTCTTCTACTGATGCCCAGGTATCACTCCCAGAGCAGGGCTATCTAATAAAAATATAATGCAGATCACATATTTAACTAAATTTTCTAGTAGCTACCTTAGGAAAAAAGTAAAAAGAAACAGGTGACTAATAATATATTTTATTTAAACCAATGTATTCCAAATATCATTTTAACATGCAATCCATATAAAAATATTGATTTTAAAAATATTCTTTCATATTGTTAAAGAGAAATTCTTCACTGGAAACTTGTTAAAAAGAGAAAGATAGATATTATTCAAAAATATTACAATAAACAAGTGATTGAGCTCAACTCTGAATACAACCTAGACAGCTGGCAAATTACAGCCAATGAGCAGAATCGAGGGGTCAGTGGATAAAAAATTTTTAAGAGGCAAAGTCAAGTATAGACGAATTCTTGCAAAACTGGTTCAACAGGTTTCTTTCTAAAGGCAGGCCAAAGACATTAAGGGTAGATGGGGAGAAACTTGATCAGAAATCAAGGGTGATTAGCTACCAAGGGTGGAGAGATTCTTGCTAAATTAAATTAGTAGGATTTTTACTAAAACTGGGCTTGGCAGATTGGTTAAGGAGAGGGCTCAAGAACAAGACCTAGTTGAAAAGATTGCTCAGAGGAGCCTGTGTAAAGATAGTTCAAAGTCTTTGTCAGCATATTGAGTCTTTGTCAGTATATTGAGTCTGTCAGTATATCGGTTGGTTTCAGAGTAAATATTTGAAATCCAATGTGAGTTTTACACTTACAGTGCATCTTAATTCAGGCTTCTCACCTTCACCTGCTCAGCAGTGGTCCTGGGCTAGTGGCTCCTGTATGGAACAACGCAGTCCCAGAGACTCCAATTCATTTTTATCTAAAGTAGCTCCCAGATATTCTTATTTATTTTTTTATTTATATATATATTTTTTAATTCTTGAAGTGATACATTGTGCAGCCATATTTAAGAACAAGGATTTGCTCCAGCTTGCATTCTTCATTGTTGCTTTTATGAACTTTTGGGTTTTTCTAGACCCAAAACGTCACCAAGAATTTTGTAACACATTTTGGCACTCTGTCATGTTTAAAACCTTCCTGGCCTGTTTAATGACGTGTGAATTATATAGGAAAGTTCTATTATAAATGCAGTACACAGGTTATTTCAGGAAATCAGCATGCCCTGAACTTTTTGAGCTCTGGCAATGAATCCTGTTGATATTTAAAACCAAGCATATGTTCTCAGAAAATAAACTAAAACTGCAGCTTTGAGAAAGCTGATAACTTCGAGTAAATCCACTGTTATTTATCAAAGATGAAACTCATCACTACATTTTAGATATCGAAAATACCCTTTTAAATGAATCTTTATAGTGTTAAATTGAGTTTAGCCTAAATTTGCCTCTTTACATATTTTAAGTTCAACCTAAAGGTTTCTCTTTACCTAGTTTACTGTAACCTAACTGGATGTGTAAGCAGATTTTAACCTACCCCTCTTTTTTTCTTTTTTTTCCAGAGATAGTCAACCCCTTTGTTGCCCAGGCTGCTGCAGAGCAGTGAGCAGGTCATAGTTCATTGCAACCTCAAATTCCTGAGTGATCCTCACACCTCAAATTGTAACCTACTCTTGTAACAAATAGCTTACTTTCAGCCAATCACGGTAGCCGGTTTTTGGCTAATCACAGGGTCCCACTGTTCAAACCATATTCAAATAAGGCAAACTCCAAGCCGTAACCAATCCAGTCGTTTCTGCTCCTCACTTCCCTTTTCTGTGTGTAACTTTCCTTTTTCTATCCATAAATGTTATTCAGCCATGTAGCGGCTCCTGAGTTGTTCTGAACCTATTCTGGTTCTGGGGGCTGCCTGATTCACAAATCATTCTTTGCTCAATTAAACTATTACATTTAATTTGTCTAAAGTTTTTCTTCTAACAATAGAAACCTGAGTTTCAACCCAAGTCATGTTCTGCACAACCCATGAATTAGAGTTTGAGTATGTACTGCTTTTCAGCCTTTCTAAGTTTCTGTTAATTATTCTTGTGTAAATTGGGCTATGTAATAACCACCCCTGGAAAGCTCCTTTTTCCTCCCAGAGCTGGAGTTGCATTTCTCAATCACAAGCACAAAGGCTGTTTTATACACAGGCTAGTCCTCAACTATTGTGTAACCGTACACAAAAGCCATTAGTATTCCAGAGGGAGGATTTGTGTTTTGTGTTCAAGGAAGCTCACATTAGACTCGAGATCTTAATACTCCTTTGAGGCCTCTCAGGCCCCCATGGTGACTCTTGAAAAGGCTTTTATTTCTTCAACATATGTAAATTGCAAAGGGTGAAGTCAAAGTGATTTAAAGCTAACATCTCCTTAGGAGTTCAGAGGAGACAGAGGCTTTATGAAATGAAATAGTAGAGAAAATTGAAGTTCCAACATTTCAATATAATGTGATCATGAAGATGGAAAATAATATTTAGTGAAATTAAAAGTTCAAGCTCAGAATGTACATCACTCTTAATCTACATCTGTTCCTTTTATTTAATTTATCTGACATGCTTCGATCCTTTCAAGAGAATTCTCAAACAAGATATATTGGATAAAGGGATATTAGTGAGATGACCTTGGGGTTCACATTGCAATTTATGCAACACTTTTTAAAGAATGTTTGTCAGGCTTAGATGAGAGCGTATTTTAAAAGAGCATGTAAATAAAGGTTTATTTAACACACTTAAACCTTTACCAAAGCTTTGCATTGTCATTTGGCATAATATAATGATTTATAGTGATAATCCTCACTTTGTTCTTTTAAATTTCCTCAAATAGAAGAATCGCTTTTCTTCTTAAAAATTTAGGTGGCAGATAGATAGATGATAGATAGATAGATAGACAGACAGACAGACAGATAAATGTATCACAGCTGTGAACTACTCTCATTTGAGAAAGTAATTGTGCTTAACATTCAGTGAGAAAACAGCAAAATGTGTTTTCTTTAGGTTAAAATGTGTTTTCTTTAGGCTTTATGAGACGCTAGTGTTGATGTTTCATCTGTTCTTAGGCACTGTTGTCACAGGTCTGCATTGCACTGTATTCTTAAATAGAAATCCGACTCTAGCAGCAGTGTGTTTGCGTTGCTGTGTTGTGTGTTAAAGAGGAATGCAAGCCCTTTATTCCAATTGTATAAAAACAAAGCAAAAAAGGAAAAAAGTGGATCTGCTTATATAGAAATGCCCTTCTCACTCAAATGGCCTACAAATAAAAAGGCAAACTGTATAGAGAACCCTTGACATAACTAGCTCATCTTAGAAAAATACTCCATTTTATATTTCACAGGGCATTTTGCCAATAAGAATAAGACTTTCTGCATAATAAACAAATAAAAAATAAAGATTGCATCCAACCAGATAAGGCCACAAACAAGCACACTCTTAACCACCAGTTCTCTGAGAGGACTCCATGACTATAAAAGAGCAGGCCTTCAGCAACTAAAAATGGTCATCTTAACTGACATCACACTTGTAAGAGTGTGGCATATGCCACCAAAGGCTCTGCCACCTCAAACACTCTTCCCTGAAGACCAATTGACCACCTGGCCCAGACCAGGACTCCTTTTGTCTTCTTAGCTTCCCCTGGGCTGGTTCATTAACGCTTTCTCCTGTCTCCTTTTCTCTTGACTTTAAATGTTACTTTGTTTGTTGTGGAATGTCTATAATATTTATATATGAGTTAAGTATACTGTTACGTGTGGTTTGCAATATTGACTGACTTGTGGAGTGTCTTGCATGTTCCTGTGGCTCTGACCTCTGAGTGAATGGGAAGTACCAAGGAGAATTTTGCCTTCTTGGAAATTCCATGTTGCTCATGGCTTTTGTGATTGGAATAGCATTAATAAGAACCTGACATTGTGGCAAGAAACAAACAGGTATGCACCTGGTTATCTCTAACTTTGCACCTCTTGTGACACAAACACTTCCAAAAAGTTGGGGGTGGCAGGGGGTGCAGAATAGAATCAGTGATGTGTTTAGAAAACTGGAATTTTTATAAACATACCTGACTAAATTCAATACTGTAATTTTTAACCCACATTTACTACATATGAAGATGTTACACGGGTTCCAGTATGATTTATTTATTTATTGTTTCATATTCTTTTAAGAAAGATCTCATGTGTACCTACTATGGGTCAGAGTCAGGGCCGAGTTCCAGAGGTTGAATTAAAAGCCCACCAGAATAAAGAAAATGTGACACATATACACCATGGAATACTATGCAGCCATCAAAAAGGATGAGTTCATGTCCTTTGCAGGGACATGGATGCAGCTGGAAACCATCATTCTCAGCAAACTAACACAGGAAAAGGAAACCAAATGCCCCATGTTCTCACTCATAAGTGGGAGTTGAACAATGAGAACACATGGACACAGGGAGGGGAATATCACACATTGAGTCCTGTTGAAGGGTTGGGGGAAAGGGGAGGGAGAGCATTAGAACATATACCTAATGCATGCAGGGCTTAAAACCTAGATGACAGGTTGATAGGTGCAGCAAACCACCATGGCACATGTACACCTATGTAACCTGCACTTTCTGCACATGTATTCCATAACTTAAAGTAAAATTTTAAAAAAACCCACCAGACAAAATCCCTGTCTTCATGGAGCTTAAAGCCTAAAGGAGGAAAGAGCCATAAAAAATATGTAATTTAAAAATAATAAAGGCTGGGTGTGGTGGCTTATGCTTGTAATCCCAGCAATTTGAGAGGCTGAGGTGGGCAGATTACCTGAGGTCGGGAGTTTGGGACCAGCCTTGTCAACATGGTGAAACCTCATCGCTACTAAAAATACAAAAATTAGCTGGGCATGGTGGCATGTGCCTGTAATCCCAGTTACTCTGGAGGCTGAGGCATGAGAATCACTTGAACCTGGGAGGCAGAGGTTGCATTGAGCCAAGATTGCACCACTGCACTCCAGCCTGGGCAACAGAGTGAGACTCTGCCTCAAAAAAGAAAAAAAAAAGAAAAAAAAAAGCAATAAATAGAATATAAGCACCGGTGACTACAGGTATAAAAGGTATGAGCTATAGGTATAAAAGGGCTTAGCTTACCCTGGGGAAATCAGAGAAGTCTTCCTTGAGGTAGTGACTTCTAAAGTAAGCGCAAAAAATTGAGTAGGAGCTTTCAAACAGCTACTTATGAAGAGACATTTTTCAAGGCCCAGGGTTCAAGGCTAATGTTAACAAAGAAAGCCGAACTGTAAAATATTTAGAGGTTTGTTCTGCGCCAATGAGTGACCATGACCCAGGGAATAGTCTCCAGAGGTCCTGAGAAAGTGTGCCTGAGGTAGTCAGGGTCCAGTTAGGTTTAATACATTTCAGTGTGAGAGAAGTTACAGGCAGACACATAAATCAATACATGTAAGATATGCATTGGTTTGACTTGAAAAAGGTGGACATCTTGAAGAAGGGGCTTACAGGTCATAGGTGAAGGCAAAGATTCTCTTATTGGCAATTGGTTGAGAGAGTTAAGCTTTGTCTAAAGAGTTAAGGTAAATGTTTGAATTAAGGTAAGGGGGTTTGTGAGAGCCAAGGTTCTTGTTATGCAGATGAAACCACCAGGTAGCAGCCTTAGAAAGAATATGGTAAATGTCTCTTTTCAGACCTTGAAGTGTCAAACTCTCCTTTAATCTCTCTTAGATCAACAAAAGACTTAGAAAGGGAAGAAGATTATAGATTCAAATTTAGCATACAAAAGATGGCTTTGCAGGGTTGTTTCAAAATGTGTCAAGAAAATATGCTTTGGGGTAAAATATTTTTATTTCCTTTAGGGTTGGCTTGCTTTCCTGTGATGCCATACCAGAGTTAGATTGGAATTTGGTACCAAACTCATTGCTACAAAGAGTCTGTTTTATCAATTTTATGACCCCTATGTCATAGTCATGACTTAGTATAGAGATCATAAGATGATGAAACAGACTCTCTTAGGTTACTTGGGCCTAAGCCCCAAAAGGGAGAGGGTATAGTGAGGTGTGTCCACCTCCCTTCCCATCATGGTTGGGAGTTCAATTTTTCAGGTTTTACTTGGCCCAGAGTGGGTCCATTCAGTCAGTTCAGGGAGCTTAACATTTTATTTTTGGTTTACACTAAGACCTGAAATCTACACAAGAAACATACATGTACACAAATGACTACATTGCAATAAAAGGAATATTATAATTTAGGCATGAAACAAAATGCAATTAAGATGATGGCTTTTTTATTTAAAGACTAAAAAAAATTTTTAAAAACCCAGCATTGCTTACTGCTTTAAATACATAATGTTGAAAACCTTCCCTAAAAATATACGTTAATATCTGTGCTAATTTGGGTATTTCCATCAGAGCTAACTAGTTGGTATTGTGTCCCTTGCCCAGATTTCCCTAAAACATAAAATTATTTAATTTGTCCCATTTCCATTGATCTTTCTTCCTCTTTTCAAAGTAATTAATACCTTTACCAACTAAGACAATATCTCAAAGCTTGTGGAGGAAATTAAATGGTGCATAGAGGCATAAATATTATTTTAATATTACACACGTTAGATTTTCTTGAAGAAATCTTTAGTAAAATGCTATTGCTTATTAGGGAGTTTTCCAAAGGACTGTTTGCACATATTCAATAAACTGATATACTAAACTTAAGATCACTGAACAAAGTCTGCTAAATATTAGGTTTTAAAATCCATGTATGAAAGATAGGTTTAAGGGACTCATTCTTCAGCCTAAATGTGCAGTTCTAATAACATTGTCCATGATATGTCACTGCTATTAAGAAAGAAGATACAGAGTTCTGTGAAAAGTGAACACATAGTTTATTACAGTTTAAAATAACTTCTCTTTGGAAAAAATTGACATTTTAAATGTTTACAAAAATAATCTCATGATTTTCATTGGTGAGACATGAAAAAGATATGAGCACTGAGAGCTGTATATTTATTCAAATTTTATTCAAACAAAATGAAATTTATTTTCAAATAATGTGTTCATTGATTTAAAATAGACAATATTTTAGAGATCATCTGTTATAAAGTCTAACCTCCTCATTTTGTACACAAGCACTTGGCACAGATAGGTTTATGGCAGGTTTGAGATTATTCTGCTGATTAATAGCGGAATCAGGAAGAGAATTCTCTTTTTCTGACTGTCAATTTGATGTTATTTCCACCTCACAGCACAACTGGCTTCTCTTAATTACTCGGTCCATATTTCTAGGAGAATAACAATCGCTTAGAAAGAGGAAGGGTAAATTGTTGATCTATTCGTGCGTATTCAACACAGTAAAATCAAGCAATAGTGTCTCTAAATAAAACAGAAAGTAAATGTTCATGTTGCATTAAAAAAAAGCTAAAGATTTGTGTAATTCTTTAAGAATCTGCTAAAATACTCAAAAGAATTGACAGTATTCTCTTCTCTTTAGTCTGTCGATCCTGTCAGGAAACTCAGACAATTTAGATAAACATCATGGTTCTAGAAGATTGCAAATCTGTATTGCAGGGCATTTTCGCAACAGGAGGTTTAGTGTTGCTCGGAATTTAACATGTAATTGGATGAATATGTTTAAACTGTCAAAGGCGGTCCTATCTTTACCAAAGAAGAAAGAGGATAAATGGAGCTATGTCAAGACTGTGTTCAGGTAAAAGGCAGATCCAAACTAAAATCTCCTTCATTTGACCTAATCCTATATGACTCAGGGAAATAAGCATTTGCTTTACTGACCATAGCCTGGTGCCTCTCTAGCTCTCTTCCCTCCACTCCCATCTCCCACTCAGATGTTGTCTGTTTTTTTTTTTTTAATTTTTTTACATTTATAACATAAATCTCTCTGACCCCCATCTCATCCTTCCACCTTCAAATATGCACACGTATATCTCCATGAACTTTACAACTTGGTATTTTGTAGGCAGCCCCTGCCTCCCCGTACATGGACAAGTACTTCCAGAAGTTGGCTCTCTTGGTGTTCCCTAATTCTCACTTTAATACCTTGTCCAGAGGACAGTCTAAGCCGGTGATGAAGTGTGAGATCTAGAGCTGGGCCATACTGTTCTGAATGTCAACTCTACCTGCAATGATGAGCTCCTCGGCAAGAGGATTAAATAATAAAAAAGCTAGGTTTACTCACCTGTCAAATGCACACTTGAAATTCTGGGAATGGATGACAGGATAACCACTAACTGAATGAGATTACAGCAGCATAATAAAATGACAGTAAATAGCAGTTATTTGTTATAATCTTGGTATAATCCCAATCATTTATCAACTTCACTCCTTTCTACTCATCGCATTTTATAGAACTCAGATATACCTAACCCTCTTCACACAAATCTAAATTTTGAATCTTGGGCTTTATTATAAAGCTTCTTATTTAAGCACATATTTCACGGCCCTCAATTGAGACCTAAGATAGACCATGGTCTTTCTATTATAGGTCTGTGTAAAATATTTTAATGCTGTTGGCTGGGGGAAAAAATGGGGGGAAAATGCTTGTTGTGATTCAGACTTTCTTTCTTTTTTTTTTTTTTTTTTTTTTTGAGACGGAGTCTCACTGTCTCCCAGGCTGGAGTTCAGTGGCGCGATCTCGGCTCACTGCAAGACCCGCCTCCCGGGTTCTCGCCATTCTCCTGCCTCAGCCTCCCCAGTATCTGGGACTACAGGCGCCCGCCACCACGCCCGGCTAATTTTTTGTATTTTTATTGGAGACGGGGTTTCACCATGTTAGCCAGGATGGTCTCTATCTCCTGATCTCGTGATCCACCTGCCTCAGCCTCCCAAAGTGCTGGGATTACAGGCGTGAGCCACCGCGCCCGGCCGTGATTCAGACTTTCTCAGGTTGTGGTCATATCCTTAAGGTGTAGTGCCATTAAAGGGGACACTGGTTGGCATAGAGAAGCAAACATATTATTTCTCATTCATCCTAGATTTATGGCTGATGCCCCTCTGACAAAAGATTAACAAGAGAAAAGCATACACATTTATTTAGTATAGGTTTTACATAGCACAGCAACCCTTGCCATGAAATGAATACTCAGAGAAATGGTAAACCTGTGTATCTTTTTTACATTTGGTTTTGTGAAAAAGTAGGTAGTCCTATGATCGCATAAAATAGTGTAACGTAATGGTAATAAACTTAACGGTAATAACGTAACGATGGGGAATTTGGCAAGGCTTGTTCGTTCAAATTCTTCTTTATGTCCCTGTATCTTCAGACACAAAAACGGTCTTTTCCTACGGGTATAGGGAGGGCACTATTCACATGAGGGTCTTATGATCTCCTTCAGAGGAACGTAAGAAAATCACTCCTAGGTTTCATGACTGCTTCATGAGACACGCGTGGAAAAAGTTCAAAGAATGACCATCTGGCTGGCTTCAGCTGCTTTCTCAAATGTCAAGGTGTCACATTTTGGGGGTAGTATTAGTTTGTTGCACAAGTAATTGCGGTTTTGCCATTACTTTTAACTGCAATTACCAACCTAGTATGTTTTGAACCAACCTAATATGTTTTGAACTCCATCATTAGAGACCGTCCTAAGTCAGAAGTGATAACCTGATGTCACTTAAATGTAAAGAAAGGAATGGATATGTGATTCCATAAAAGGAAGTTTTGTTTTGCCTTTTTAGAATACAAGGCCACCCCTTAGCACAATAAATATGAGGGATCAATAGTGGAGTCAAGCCTCTGAACTCAAATTGAACAGGAGGGCGAGTGGTATAAAAATATAAAATCCAATTATAAGATTTCTCAACCAGATTAGCTATATGCATAAAGTGCTGTTTCATTTTCTTTGTGTTTTGTTTTTAATTTGTTGTTGTTGTACTGTTAGTGGTGGTTTTTTCTTTTTTCTTTTTTTTTTTTTTTTTTCGTTGCTAGCAGCAGAAACTGACTGTGGCTAATTCAAAAGGAACAAGAAAAGTAAACTAAAGAAAAGGAAAGGAGATAAAAGAAACAAACATAAAAAGAAAACAATTCACCTAAGTTTATGGGAAAGTTCAGGAAGTCAAAGCAAAGCTGAAGAATCAGATCTGAGAAAGGACAGCAGTCAGGAGCTAGGGCAGGTTGGGGATTTAAGGTGAGTGCACCAGGGACAGCCTTCTTAGGGACCACCTGGGATGGAGCATCTACAACACGTGTGGTTCTTACTGCCACTGCTTAAGGTTTACATTTCTGGAAGAATTAATCAGATGTTCTAGTCATAAGTCACATGCATAAGTTTGACCAAGGAAAGTCTAAGCATTTTGATTGCCTTTTTCACAAAGACCTTAAGCAAGTCAAGAAGAGAACCAATTCTCCAAAGGAGAATTGAGCTGCTAACATCAGAAGAGAATAAACATAACTTAAGCCAGCCAAATCAACAAATTAACACAATGACCTTTCACATAAGGATCTGTGCATTCTGAGAAAATCCATATTTGATAATTCTGCTGGAAAAAACAGTGAAACATTACACTGGCAAAGCTATAAAATTATTGTTGAAGGGTGGGGGACCACCATTAAAAATCACATTAAAGCCAATCAAATCATATAAAGACACTGTAGAAAACATTTATATCACCGCATTATCTCAAAATTAATATGTTCCTTTAGGTTGTAGTTTCAACACACCCAATGAACACAAAATATCACAAACATCTCTTGAATATTTATGGGGTGCAAAAATTGTGATCTGCATGGGCTCTCACCACTGGCATGTCACAGTTATTGTCCAGGAGCATGTACCAACTACCTGCCCCTCTATAGACACACACACACACACACACACACACACACACGCACACACACTCTCTTTCTCTCTTTCAGATTAATATACATAAGATTTTCCTTCTTTGATCATTTAAGTAAAATGATTCAATTGTTGCACTTAGTGCTTAGACACTTCTAACGAAGAGACTAAATTCATAACATTAATCTTCAGTTTAACATGCTTAATCCTGAATCATAAAATCACCCATATGTTATTTTTATGTGTTATCAAGGTATATGGGGCTGAATTACATGCCATCTAAATTATTTTTGTCAATTTCTTTGTCATTTATATTATTGAGTTTCTTTTATAATTTTATGTATTTTATTTATGGACTTTTGTTTTCCTTGTATTCTCCAGAATAGTTACTGGAGTCTACAATGTGTGTAAAATTGGGGTGGAGGGAAATGTAGTATTTGACAATTTTTTTTGTCATATTGCCATTACACTGGTAGAATAGTAAGAACACACAAATAATTATGTAGGGACTCATAAGACTAGGAAATAGAATAGTGACTTTTGTTACACACACACACACACACACACAAAAGTCTATGTTATTCGGGCAGATAGAACACTCAGTTTGCATTTTCAGACGCAAACTAGAACTGATATTCTAGCTATGCAAATTTAAACATTATGATTGAGATGTTATTTTTCCTATGTGTAAAGTCGTCATAATTAAAACTTTTCTAGCTACATCGACTAACAACCAAGGATTCAATAATCTCACAAAAAAGGGACATATGTTTTGTAAAGTTCTAGTCATATATTAATTTTAGTACTACAGGGCTTTTTTTGTGGCATTTTGTAAATGAATGTCAGCCTAAGAGGACAGAATTTTACTTGAATACATTTTTCAGGTTTCAAATTCAAAGGTTTAATTTGGAAATGATGTTTCCCTATGTGCATAATACCTTTCCTTCCTCAGTCCAATTCCTACTCAATTATTGAAGTTTCACTAAAATCCAACTTGTATACATTCTCTATTTCCTTCATGTTAAACTGATGGCTCCGTGAGCTTGCTTTGCACATATTGTTAGGGCTTTCAAGTGATAATTTTATGACAGGTAGTCTAAGGACTGAGGTAATCTGTGATTTCACTACTTTGAACAGACAGAGAGCATGGAAAAATTCAGGACCAAACACAAGGGAAATCTAAAAAAAATTATTTTATTTTGGAGACTGGACCAACTTCCATCATTCAGAGAGACAGTGCCCCAAATTTAAATCTGGCTGGAGTATTATTGTTCAGG
This sequence comes from Homo sapiens, assembly GCF_000001405.40. Classification (NCBI taxonomy): domain Eukaryota; kingdom Metazoa; phylum Chordata; class Mammalia; order Primates; family Hominidae; genus Homo; species Homo sapiens. Next base: position 63,972,020 of record NC_000016.10, on the reverse strand, counting down.
GAAATGTTGGTGTCATGAGTTCTCATATAACAGCAGCCAGATCATCAGTATTTGCTTGGACAGTACCCATAGTTCCAGGATACATGCCTTTATGGAAGGCAAATGGGTAGATCAGCAGAAATATGGATGCTAAATTAAGACACCAGCAAGTTCATATCCATTGACCATTCTTGAGAAGTTGTGGATGGCTTGACCTCTCTTAGCATCATCAAAATTAGCTATGAAATTGGGATAATTCCTACTCAATATGCCTTAAAATTAATGGAATAATGTACAAGTAGATAATACATTAAAAGGTTTATAATAATATTGGTCCCATCTCTTCTCTGTGTACTACAAAGACATAGAGCCCTGGGTGATATCTAAGGATGCAACTCTAGGCATAGAAGATGAAATGTAGAGTGCATATGAAGAACCAGCGCCCCAGACTAAGTGGCCCGTTTCTAGAGCTACTCTCCAATTCTTTCTTTATTTAACTTTGCAATAATTGATGTCTTGTCTTCTCATGTAAACTCGAACACACTCTCTAAAATGATCTTTCCCAGTAATCAACCTTCATTTTTTATGAGTTGTTGTTTATATAGTAATTCTGTCTTCAGAATCTACCTACATTATGCCAAAATTGTGTCCAATGTTATTGAAAATTTGAAGATGGTCTATACTCCTTTATAAGCAACTTTCATTCTCACCGCAAAGTGAACAACAATGCATATCAACTAGCAGAAATATATTTAAATGTTAACTGTTTCTTTGATTTGGAAGAGATGAATTTTTAAATAAATTGTTAATACAAACAAAGTGGTATCAAAATAGGTAAATAAGTGTCCTCTAGATGACAGGGTAAGTAGTTTGAGCTCTTGAAATATTGCCTGTAGATAAATAATGTTCAGTTAATGTTATTTGAACAATTAATATACATATAAACCCTTTTGGAAAGCATTGTGAAGGTCTAAAACATGAAAGATTGAAACATATTTTATATATTTTGATCGAAGATAGACACAAAAGACATATGTGTTCTTATTTAACATATAAAATTGATTAAAGATATATACCTTTCAATCATATATTCACTGTTCAGAATACTATGCAGCTGCTGAAATGGTAATTGTATGTTTGAAGCAACTACGAAATAATATACGATAAAAATTTGCATTTTTTTCTTGAACTTGATGTTCTATTTCTGCCTGTAATTAAATTTTGTGCTGTTGTAGTTTTTAAATAATTGCCAGACGTTCTTTAGAAAAGTCAGCAAATAGATAAAAAATTAAATATATAGTGTTATTTTGTATCGAAGCTGTTTGTATTTAGCTTTAAACTTAACATTATAAATGTGTTTTCTAGTTTATCTGCAGAGCACTTACAGTTATATTAAGGATTATACAAATGATATTCTTTCATTAGCTGTGCATGAAATGGTAAAGAGATGAGCTTCTTCCAAGATGTGTTATAACTGAAATTCAGACAGAAATTAAATAATTCTTATAAGGTCTACAGCAAAGCCCAACTTTTTGCCTATAATCAAACTCTTTGCATGCAGACACATCAACCAACACTTTCTCTTCAAATTGCAGTTTTTTGCTAAGTCCCAGAATCCAGAAATTTTTTTGTGGCAGAAAACGCGGGTTTTCCTGTAAGATAAACCTTCCAAATCATGAAAGGCAGCAATGAACTCCTTAGACGATTTGGATTCCAAGGCATTCGACATTTTCCTGTGAAGATAACTTACACAATGTTGTGATATAGGGAGTTGAAGTGTTTATTACTAATGATGAAATGAATAATCCCTTACATTAATACCGCACTTTACAGATTACATGGCACTCTAATATTTTGTCTTTCATTTAATTCTCTCAAACACCTTATAAAGGAGGCAGGATGAATTTTTATTATCCCTATTTCATCTGGGTGCAAATTGAGGGTAGTGAGGTTAAGCTAATGCCAAAGCTTGCAGAGAAACTGGAGGGGTTGGCACTTACTCTTGACCTTTGACTTTAAGAACAGTAACTGTTCTTCCTACTACAGTAATATTTCTCAAACTGGGAATCTTTCTAAGAGCAAAAATAAATTAATGATCTATAATTGTTTCTATATGATTAAAATAAACACTCACATGAACTACTTTAAATATCTTAGGCTTTAGCCTAAATAAAATTATGCATAAAATACTAAAACAATAAAAAGTTTCTCATACATCCATTGCACCCCAAAGTAAAAAAAAAAAAGGGTTATAATTTACTGGAATTAAATTATTACTCAGAATGCAAAACTAACACCAACTGCTAACAATAAAGTTTCTTTGAATTGCATAGCATATATTATTATGGGTGTCACATCAAGATTTATTTCTTCCTTACATTGTCTCTTTTGAAATGTTGAGAAAACTTCATCGGTTGAGTTCATTCTGTTCTGGTTCTGGCTTGATTGCATATGATTGTATCTTTGTACCTTTGCATTAAGTTTGTACCTTTGCATTAACCTTTGCATTAAGTTTGTACCTTTGCATTAAGTTTACTTCAGCTTTTTGTGCATTAACAAAATAATACCATTTGATATAAATACTTTCATAAATCCAAATGCAAATTTAGGCGCTGAAATCTGGGGACAATATTCAGTTATATGGTGGGTGATTTGTAGAACTAGGGTATGTTTATACAGTTTATCTGATTACAATCAAAGTGAGTAAAACAAAATCAATGTACAGCGGATATGTATACCTTGGAGAACATTTGTGAAAAACTTCTGAAATTAATATATATTTTTAGGAATGTTTTATTTTATATACTGTGTCTCCTTAGGGTAGAACAATTATTCACTAACTACAGTGAATTTTCCCACCAGGTATCATAACTTGTGCCTAAGTTCTCACACCCCTTAGTGGAATAAATATTATCTGAATCTTACCAGTAGATGGAATGAGATTGAGAAAAGATAAAGCAAATGCTGAAACCAGGGTGTTAAAGTAGATTTATGTGTGCCCCAACTACTTTCTTTCATCCATGTGCCTCTAAGTCTGGGAATGATCTCTGTTTAATTGACCAAGAACAGTTTTGATTTTAGCCAACATCCAGCAAAACATTCTTAACATACAGAAAAGAATATCAAATATTGATTCCTTACTATTAGACACTACTTCAGTAAATTATAGTGCATATAGACCTCAAGGCAACCTTGAGCATGAGATACAGTTTTTAAGTTCAAGGTCAGTACTTACTAAGGCTTTGGGACTATGTTTCTTTGAAACACAAGTAATATGTCTTGATGTTGCTTGCTGAAATGTTTGTTTCTGTATTGAAGGAGAATGTGATGTTCTCAAAATGTTAAAAAGTGTGCCCTGTAGGTTTGCCAGAAATCTGTGGATGTTAACAACATAAAACTTCCAGATTCAATGTAATAAATATTCCAGTACAGTTACACATAAGATAGGACAATGCCCCCATCTGGGACTTATAATTTTTGGTCAGAATTTTAAAATCACTTGGGAAGTGTATATTACAAGGATACAAGTTTACTTACGAAAATCTTTATATCTAATATTTATGTTAAATGAACATAAGAAACTTGGGCTACTAAAATATAATCTAGTTTTTTTGTGCATAAATCATCAAGTCAGTCTTTCAGACAATTTTCATTTAAAGTCCCTTCATTAGTATAAACTTAATTATAAAATTGTATATATAATATCCTATTGTGTATATATATATATTTTTTCCTGTCTTTATTTCACATAATATACAGATTACAAGGTTTTTTTTTTTTTTTTTGGTCTGGTCTAGTCCTATTTCCAGATGGCTGATTTCTTACTGATTTCATAACTCACAACACTGATTCTTACTAAGCAGGTCTTGGCCACGACCCTAGAGACACAGGAAAATGTGATACCCACTCTTACTATAGATTAAGAGATTTTTTTTTTATCCTTTCTCCAGCAATCAAATATTCTAGCCTTACTTATCTCATTCCTGGATAACTTTTCATAAGCACATGCCATTAACATTGTTTACATATATTTTAGCTTTTTCTCTTCAAAGTTCATTTGATTTTTTTCTCAAACCACATTGCAAATGTGTTTACTCTAAATCTGTTACACTGTATACTCAGTTTTCCGGTTCTCAATTTCAACTTCTCTTTTGCTAATTATTCCAAGTAATTGGTGTGCCATTTTCTCTTAATAACATCAAAAGTCTGTTCATACGAATGGGAATTTGGGTCTGATGCTACTAAATGTTGGAAAGTTATTTTTCTTATAGATAGGAAGATATTCAGTTGGACTGCAGATTTTACATCCCACTGGTGCTGATTTGTTAATGGGTATTTTGTCTCACTTCATTGTGAAATTAACAGGATCAGGTACTATGCCTATAGTGTTAGAAGCACAGTATTGAGTCATACTCAATATTCTGTAAAAACTATTTTTATATAAATAAATGAGTATTTTTTATTTATTAACCTATTCATTTGTTCAAGCTATTAATCAAAGCTTCATTTCTGTTGTTAATGTCTTTCAATTGGTAATTCAGTCTAGCTTAGGTTCTTTGTTTGGAAACTCTGTGAAGTTTGTTCTATTCTTGAGTAACTCTGGAAATAAGAGCCTTGTTTTTTCTTTGCCAAAATCTGGCATGCAGTTTCTGCTGATTAATAGTATTTCTAAAATTAAATGATATTTCTAACATCATATGATGTTGAAGACTTATTAGGGCTTAGAAATATCTAAGGTGAAGAAATGTTCAATTTCCAACTTTTTTCCATGGTGAAGATTCTTCGGATTTTGATTTCTAATTCATTTATAATTGTTACGATTTTAATCTTATTATGTTCTAAATTAATTACATATCTCTTGAAAAGTAATCCGCAAAAATAGCTCCCTCTTCCAGCCAAAGTCTATTTGATTGTCATAAAGAAGACTGGACTCTCACCTCCAGCATTCGGGAAATTATATTATTTTAATAAATCCAGTATTTGTTCTACTTTCTATTCTATTCTATAACAATAATCAATTTATCCCTTATAGGGTCATCAATTAATGTTCCTCAACCAGATGCACATACCAGCAATTTTATAATTTTTAATATATTATTTTAAAACTTAATACGGAAACTAATATTCATCCAATTTTTCCATTTACTCCATTATTCTCTATGACATGCAATCGCAGTCATACAGAAAATGAAGAATAGATTAGAAATTAATCCTGAAAGATTTTTGAAAAAGTTTTAAAAAATGATAAATTAAGTTGTCATAGACAACACCAGAGAAAAACATAGTTACCAGATAATGTCTAAGTATTGATTTCTTTATTTTTATTTTACTGTATGTGCTCCTATAGGATTCTCTAATTGTGATGTTTGCTTTCACTCATTCAATTTTGTATTCTGGTTAAATCTGGCTCTGCCTAAAACATGAAAATTGTGTGTTTTTATTTTTTTGAGACAGAGTCTCACTCTGTCACCCAGGCTGGAGTGCAGTGGCGTGATCTTGGCTCACTGCAAGCTCCACCTCCCGTGTTCACGCCATTCTCCTGCCTCAGCCTCCCGACTAGCTGGGACTACAGGCGCCCACCACCACGCCTGGCTAATTTTTTATACTTTTAGTAGAGACGGGGTTTCACCCTGTTAGCCAGGATGGTCTCGATCTCCTGACCTCGTGATCCACCCGCCTTGGCCTGCCAAAGTGCTGGGATTACAGGCGTGAGCCACCGCTCCCGGCCAAAATTGTGTTTTAAAAATAAAAATTATGGTATCATTTTACATTCTTTACTCAAATCGCAACTTTAGTACTTTCTAGTTATACATACATGTCTGATATTTTATCAAGCCTCAGTATATAGAAATGACATTGGAAAATGTCATACATTAGACAGCATCAGAATCACATTGTACCACAAATGGATGACCTTCATATTAAATGTCTAATTATGAATCTAACATATAATAAGGGATTTAATACAATTATTTAATGGTAACTCTTCCAGTGTTCACTGAATTATAAAGACGAAAATCAGAATAGAGAAAATCAATGATAAGCCAACACTATACAGACATGGTTATGTCTATGTTGATGCTTAGTGATATTTATATCTACTTATATCATCTGTGTTCAAGATGAGAAAACAAGAGCAGGAGTAAAATCTAGAGAGAGACATATGTATATAGAGAGAGATTGAGATTTTTGCCTCTTATACATTTTTCTCTTACAGTTTAGCCTGTTGTAGAGTAGAAACATTATAGCCTTGGAGTCAGAGTGTTAGTCTCACCTTTGTGTGACTACTTCCTTTACAATTGCACGGGTTGTGTAGGCTTTATAAATAATTTATCCGAGATCCTCTTTGCTCATAATTAAATTTTAAAAAGAGGGCAGTGAAGGCTAATACTGTGAGAAGTATTAATTATATATATTTCCTATCTATATATTTCATAATATATCCTTCAATATAGTGTCTGAAATGTTGTAGATACTCTCTTTGCTTCATCACGTGCCACTCTGTTTTGTGCACATCAGGCAGTGGTGTTTTTTTCTGAATGTTCATTGCCTATGATGTTTCCTGAGCCAAAGTGGATATGAATTATGTGATATTTACATCTTCTAATGTATTTAGACTTAAGGTAACTTCCTAATTCAGGTATAAAGTTAGCTCACTACGAATCAGTGGAGAATTACATTCATGATCTCGGATATCCCTTGGAAATCTCTTGAGGATTATTCCTGTTTCCATACTTTCTCCTCCTTCTCTTCAGCATCAAGTAGAACTGGTTCACTGAATGCAGCTCTTACCTCAGTTGGTGATTTGTAGAAACATTGAAACCACCATTGCAACATCAATCTATGAGTTACAAATTTTGTCTCCCATAGACAGACCCTCATATTATTTATACATGTTTCGGTTGTGATCATACTGTAGACCATCTTATTACGGACAGAGTCACAAGTGGGATTTCTGGGCTTATTTAGTTTGGTTCAATGGTCTTGACTCAATCTCTGGATCCTCTTAGTATCGTAAATGGATGTAGAAGGCATTCGTGTTTGTACTAATTTTCTCTAAATTCTGACTACATCTCAAGTTAGGTTTCATTGTGCTTTCCAAAATTATTTTAGACCATGTGTCACATGCTAAGTGGAATGTAGGAATACAATGAAAAGCAGGTCCCTGCAGTCTTAGCAGTTAATATTCTAATTAGTAAGTACACGAATCAGTGCATAGTCACTAAGATTAATATGGTGAAGTAAAAGTGTTTTTCTGTGACACTGTATAACAAAAAGATCTGATACAGACGGGGGCCTGAGGAAAGTTCTCTTCAGACAGCTATGTTTTATCTGTTGTTCAAAAGATGAGGAGGTAACTAGGCAAAGGTGGTTGGTGCAATGGAAAGAAGCATATTAAAGGTAAGATATTGTATAAAGCTTCCAAGGCAGGTGAGTGATCATACACATGTTACAAAAACTAAAAAAAGGGATGTATGGGTGGGTAGAACTGATGTTCTAGGAGTACTCAATGGATAATGGGAGGATTAATTAAGCCATGTTAAAATGATGAGGTTTTATCTAAAGATCAGTGGAAAGACATTGAATGGTTTTGTGCATGGAAGTGGAATACAGGGATTTGCATGTTGAATAGATATTTGATAGGGAAAGTGAAATGTGATCCAGAAATAGATATTCAGGGAGGCAAGTTAGATAGAGGATGTGGATATCTAGGAGAGAATTAATCTTATTTTGGACTAAGATGATGAAAAGAAAAATGGGAGAAATATCACAAATAAATACACACTTTAAATCACTATGTATTTTAAAGTATTGGGAACACCTTTTTGGAGTAATGATTCCACCCATGGACAGAACACTAGTGATACCATGCTCAAATTTTGCAGCCTGGTGACTACTACAAATAATATTTTTTTGTTTTTTCTGGAATGGCCCTAGACCTTGAAAAACCCTAGAAAGCTTGAACACCATCTCAGAATCTGCAGAATCTTGAAAATGAAAATTTTGCACTGTGCACCTCATAAATAAGTTAAATGCTGTCTGTAGTTGATGAATCAGGCATGCCACATGTCAGGTTCTGTCAACAGCAAAGAAGACTATCACTTCCTCCCTCACTGCTTAAATAAGCTTAACTTGAATGGACTTTTAAAAGCACTAAGATGAGGTACATTGACTGGAAACTGTAATTGAATCATTCCCATAAATGATTAAGGCAATGGGAAACAAAAGGGAAAGGACTGAAGATTTTATAACCATTTTTGGATGAAATGGAAGCAGCTAAGCCTGCCCCCAACCCCCTGTATTAGGGTTCTCTAGAGGGACAGAACTAATAGGATAGATGTATATATTAAGGGGGGTTTGTTAAGGACTATTGACTCACAATCACAAGGTGAAGTCTCACAATAGCCTGTCTGCAAGCTGAGGAGCAAGGAAGCCAGTCTGGGTCCCAAAACCTCAAAATAGGGAAGCCTACAGTATAGCCTTCAATCTGTAGCCAAAGGCCTGAGAGTCCCTGGCAAATCACTGGTGTAAGTCCATAGTCCAAAAGCTGAAGAACCTGGAATCTAGTGTTTGAGGGCAGGAAGCATCCAGCACTGGAGAAAGATGAAAGCTGAAAGACTCAGGACATCTCTATTCAACTTATCCTGCCTGCTTTATTCTGGCTGCACTGGCAGCTGATTAGATGGTGCCCAACCAGACTGAGAGTGGGTCTCCCTCTCCCAGTCCACTGACTCAAACGTTAATTTCCTTTGGCAATGCCCTCGCAGACACAACTAGGAACAATACTTTCCATCCTTCAATCCAATAAAATTGATACTCAGTGTTAACCATCACACCCCTACAGATAGCACCTTATAGCCTCATCCCAAAATAATAATAATTGTTGACATAAAACAGTTGTTTACTCTGTGTGAGGCACTGGGGTAATCGCTTTACATAGATGATCTTAATCTATTGCTCACAAAAATCCAGTAAAGTAATTTTTAAAACTACTTTTTTCAGATGAAGAAGGAAGTCAAATGGCTTGCCTAAGGTCATAAAGTTTGTAAGCAATAGAGCCATGAAGGCTCATTTTTTTCACACTTAAGCAATACTGCTTTGTGTTATGTGGTTCAGGAGTTCTGATGTCTTGCCATAGAAGTGAGCAGTCTCCATGAGGGAATGTATAGTGTGTATTTGTGGCATCTGCTAATTCAACAGTAACTGAGTAAGCACCTACCATATGCCAAATACTGTGTTCATGTGTGTTCGTGTAGTGAGCATGACAAGTGTAAAGTCTGCCATCCTACCACTTGTAGACAAGCAGGAAAGGCAGAAAATTGAATGAGGATTAGTTTTTAAATATAATAAAGGCTATCAAAATGAAATAACAGAATACCCTAGAAATTTATAGCAGAACCAAGTATCCTACCCATTTGGAGAGAAATTTTGAAAAAGGAAATTGTAGACAGACACTAGAATAGTAACCAAAAGTCGGGCAAGAGGCAAATAAGAGAATGTTTGTGAAAGTTTTCAGGTGAGCAAGAACAGGGCATGTTTTAGGAGTAAATGAGTACATTGTGGCTGGGGAAGAATCAGTGAGAGAGAACATTAAGTGGTTTGATAGGTAAACCAATTCAAGACCATGGAAGACAATGTATGTTATATTAAGAAGGTTAAATTTTCTCCTAAGGACGGTAGGAAGCCACTGAAGAAGAAATAATAGGCATAGAATTTTAAGACTCTGGCTGGGTGTATTGTGTCCAATGGATGAGAGTGAGGGGAGCCTAGATAATCAGTTATTCAGATTTGCAGTAGTTATAGGATGAAGGTGACAGATTACAGTTATCTGCTAGTTAACTGCTAGTTAGGCTGGGAAGAAACAAAATTTGAAATCAGCAAGTCAGAATAACAGTTTTATGGTGGAGAATGTGTGGGCTAAGGGAAAGGAAAGGCTCAAAAAAGACATACAGGTCTCTGTATTGGGTAAATTACTAGATGGTGGAGCTATGCTCTGAGATGAGAAACAAAAAGTATAGGGGAAACGATGACTAATTTCTTTTTTGATCAACCGTGTTTAAGCATGCCCAATGAGGGTATATCTCCAATGGGCATTAACAAATAAGTCTGGAAGTTAAGAATGAGGCTCTTTCTTACCAGAACTGAGAGATGCCTAATGGATCAGGTTGCAAGCTAAGATTGTGACTAGGACTATAGCTAAATGTTTTGGAATTAGGCACAGTTAGGGTTCTGATTTTCTATAAAGAAAACAGATGACATAGATGTTAGCTTTTTGGAAAAGGTAGAGTACAGACTTTAGTTACATAAGGGAGTCTTAGAAGGTAGAAAGGGAAATAATAATACATCTGCCAGAAATTACAACCTATGGGTTGCTCCAACTGTGGAAAGAAAAAGGGAAAACACATTAGGGGATTAAATGGTTAATTTTTGGGAACCTAAGGTAGTTTGACCCCAAAGAAGGCTTGGGTAACAATTTGATAAGGATATGAATAATATTTACTTAATCCCACTACATTACAAATATAGGAGAGAACCATATTAACCCTTGGGTATGGAGCACACTAAGCCTTTGAGTTTGAGTATTCGTAGACATACTACTACTATGCATGAGTTGCAATTGTAGTTTTGAGGTTGGGCACTCAGTGAACTTAGATTAGAGAAGGCTGGATATGGCAGAGGGAAAGTTGTTATCCAGGAATCTGGCTATATCTGGTCATTATGTACTAGTAACTGTGATTGTCTCATGTAATATTCACAAATAAGACAATTGATGCCCTGAGAAATGACGGAACTTGACCTAAGTTAAACTGTTTATGAATGACAAAGCAAGATTTTGGCTTGGGTGGGGAATGGGAACCAAGACTGGCAATATTTAAAGGCTGATCTCTAGGACAGATCAGAAACTGTTTTTCTTGGAAAGTTCCTCCTCACCCAAACAAGTGAGCTTCCTTGAAAACTTAGGCGGCATTCCTTAAAGCCAACATCTTTCCATATTAAAGGCAAATTGCCAGAAACCTGATACATATATAAGTCATTTCTTTCCAAATCATGTTTTAAATCTCGTTCTATGGTGTTTTGTCAATGATTGCCCTCTGACATCTTTTTTCCAGGTTGGAATATTAAAAATAATAAACAAGAGCAAAGTCATGCCCTAGATAAAAAGGGTACAACGTCTAACTAAAATCATCAATATTAATATTTATGGAGAGCTTTCTATCAAAATACTAGCTGATGGACAGGACTTGTATTTTATATGACAGATGAAGATACTGAAGTTCAGAGACTTAATTGATTATTTTTATAAGTAAAATAAAGTGACTTTTTCATCATTTGCACATATCATAGAAAAAGAAAAAAATTCAAACAATTTTACCCATTTAGAGATTATGTTTGGCATGTCTCACCCAACATGTGATGAACTGGCAGAGCCAAATTTCACTTGGGCAACTGTGGCTGGGGGAAATTTTGTAGCTACTGGATGGAAATTTTATACTTACTTATAGCATGCCAGTTATCCATGAGTATTTTCCAGCTTCCCATGCAGTTGGGTTAGAGCCATGCAACCAGCTCTGATTCATGCAATGCAACCAGAAATAATTCAAGTCACACTGGGACAAAGACTATTTAGAGAAAACTTGTCTTCTCCATCTCTTTTCCTCCTCTGTCTCAGTAACCTTGGAAGCTCCACATTAAAGAAAATACTAACTACAAGATGGAGTCACCCTAGATAATTGAATACACAGTTTGAGGAGAGTGACAGAAAAGCATATCTCTATTCTGAAAAAATAAAAATAAAAAGATTAATTGTTCAATTAAATGTTACACTCTTAAGCCACAGAGATTTGAGGATTCTTTGTTTTGCAGAGTAGGCTAACCTATGTAGATGCAAACTATAGATACAAAGCAGCTTAACCTTAGAGACCTTAGGAAATCATAGCAAGTTCCAATGAAGAGAGCCATGCTGTGTATATTCAGACACCATGGGCAGAGAACAGTTATGCAACTGTTGCAAATAAGAGCCTCGTGTTCAAAATCACAGAGTTACGTGATATTAATAGTAAATATTACACACTGAGTTCTTCAAGAAGTTGACTCTTAGATGGATATTTTAATGCAATAAGTTTATTGAGGAGTGTTTTCAGGATCAACATGGTTGAGGAAGTAATAAAACATGATTGAACAAAGAGAAATGTAAACTGAAATGCAGTGATAGCATTTTCCTGAAGTTTTTTACAGGGCCCTCTGGAGCTGAAATGGATTTCCAAAAATGTCTTGAATCAGGTTATGGGTGCCAGGCCTTTAGACCCCACATAGACCAGTAAATTGATGCAGGATGCTGTCAGAAAGAAGGCATGACTTTGTCAAGGCAGCTTAATTCCACTGGGGTTGCATCCCCCCCGCCAAAAAAAAAAAAAAAAGGGAGTTAGCTGAGATTTGTCGACTGTCAACACTCATCTCAGCAGCCCCAGGAGTCATTGTTGCAGTCTTGGAGGAGCACGTATGCAGGGAAGACCATGGAATCCAATACAGTAGGTATTGAAGTGAAGTCAGTAGCCTTCTTATGTGAGCATCTCTATATAGTTGGCAAGTTGAAACGCAAAGATGCCTAGTCTGTAGGGTTTTGTTTGTTTGTTTCTTTTGTAAATCTAGACAGAATATTTCAATGCTGTAATGTGTCCACAACCTTGTAATGGCTCGATACTATGATTAGAGAATTCCTGGCCCAGTCAACTCAGTCATTTGGAGACTATATTGACTTTTTATTTAATTCCACCACATAGTTAAACATAAGCCTGTGACTTTTTGGTGTATGAGAGAAAGGAGGCTCAGCATGTTTTCCTTAATGAAGCATTCTCTTCAGTTCCTCATTCTAACTGCTGATGCAGATCACTATCCCTCCCTTCTACCATCTCTTTAGGATAATAAATCTCTCTTTCTTTTTGAGAAAAGTATTAATATTTAATTGCAAAAACTCTTAAAATGTTGGGAAAATATTAAACTAAGCACTAAATAATGCCCAGGAGAGTAGGCAGCTTGATTTGTGCAGTGAGGTTTAGTTGTTCATTTGCATTTTTTTCTAATAACAGTGACCTACTAAGTGGATCTTTTTCATGTTCTTTTTCAGAAGTAAAGTTCTATTGAATAAGAAAATAAGTAGCAAAAGGGAATATCGGTTTACATTTCTGTTCCAAAGTGCCCTTTGAAACACTGCTTATTTGAACACATTAAATTTGTTCCAAAAGTATTCGGGTCATGCATAATTAAATATGTAGCTTTTAGCAATTTTAGCTCTTCCAAAATATGTTGTATACTATGTAATTCGTACTTTTTACTAAGTATTACTATTTCATCCTTCCAGATGTCTCTGTAATTTGCTATTCAAAGGTTAATTTTATGCGAGTAATGAAGGTCAAGATTTAGTGGAATTTTAAATGATAAAATGTACGTGTTTCAACACATACCATTGTAAAATAAAGTTAGACACAAATATATTCAAGGGATGGCTCAAGATTAAAAAGGATTAAGGGCTATTTTAACATACAAAATTTAATGTATTTTATTGATTATACTGAATTATTTATATCACCAAGGTTATGAGTGCAAAGAAAGAGCATAAGTTCTGGAGGTCAGTCAGTGTCCATGAACAGTAGATTTTTTTTCACATCCACACAAAGATCACTCCCACATTTCATCAGGAATTTTTGGTGTATGGTGATGATTTATTTAACTTATACAAATCTCTGAATAGGATATGCAATACCAAAAAAACTCCCAGTATTAGTAATAATAACAACAACAATGATAATTGTGCCTACTATGTTCAGGTAGTATTTCTAGTATATTCACGTATTTGTCTTCCTTTGATTCTCTCCAAAAATAACAGGTTTGCATCTTATCCTAATTTGATAGGTGAAAAGTCCCAGACACAGAAAGGCTCCATAAGTAGCCTGAGGTTACATGTCTAATAAGAGGCATAGAAGGGTTTTCTTTCCTGACTATTACAGACTAAATATTGTGCCCCCTGCCCCAGATTCATATACTGAAATGCTAACCTTCAATATAATGGTATTTGGAGGTTGGGCGTTTAGGAGGAAATTAAGTCATGAGGGTAAATCCCTCATGAATCATTAATGGGATTAGTGTTCTTATAAATGAGGCTCCAGAGACCCCTCCTGGCTTCTTCCATCATGTGAAGACCCAGCAAGAAGATGACAGTCTACAACCCCAAAGGAAGCCCTTACCAGATACTGAATCTGCACATGTCCTGATCTTAGACTTCTCAGTGTCCAGGACTGTGTGAAAAAAGAAAACAAAAATGTTTGTTGTGTAAGGATCACCCAGTCTGTGGTACTTTTGTTCTAACAGCCTGAACAGACTATGGCACTAACAAAGAATGACCTTAACTTTAGGACAACTTGCTGATTTGTATCTCCTTACCCCCAAAACCCAGAACAGCACTAACAATTTCTTTATTATTTTTCTTCTCCTTTACAATCTTGATAGTCACTAGCGGCACATAAGGGTGAGTGGAAGCACAGTAGATCCTAGGAAGGAAGTGACACAATGTGAGGTACTCCAGAAAGATCATCCCAAATAATATTATTTGCCACTTTAATTATTATGTTACCATAATAAGAAAATTATTTTTAAAATTATCTCCCAAAATGAATAGAGCCTTGATGTATGGTGTCACAATTAATGTTACTTTCTTGAAGTACTATGTTTCAAGGTCTTTTTTTTTAAATTTCTTTATATGGGACATCACAGAATGACACTGAGAGTTAATAAAGGAAAAAGATAAAGATGAATCCAATTCTGATCATATGGATTATGTTCATCTCTTTGCCACTGCCTGATTATAAAGATCTACACCAATGTGCACTCCCATGAAATCAGGTGGTACAAGGCAGTGTAATGATATTTTAAAATAAACATGATAATGCACATGCACATATGTGCACATGCAAACACATATATACGCATTCTCCATGTGTTCTTTATAAAGTAGAAAATAATTCATTGCATGTATTTATGATCAAATATGAAAGATCCACAAGCTTCCACCAATATTGAAAGCAATATTCTTTCTTTCTGAAGGCTAAAAAACATAACAACATCTGTATAATGAAAATATATTTTCACCCTTAGGGAAATATGGATTTATTATAGCAGAGTTCAAATGAAATTCTCAATATCCAATTAAGGCAAACCATGCCTCATTAACTATTGACTTTCACCCATTGATTGAAAATCAAATTGATCAGAGATTAGAGTGGCCTGTTATTTGGAACTTCTGATCACCAGCATAACACTTGTCAAAAACATGTATATTCAATACCCAGCCCTTTAGGGTTGCTTGGATTAAAGTTATTCAATGCAATCTGTGTTCTCTGTAGTTGCGGCTTAACGAGTTTCATGTGGCTGAAACATGCATGTGTTCCTTACTTTGAAGATGAGTCTATCACAATTAGACATATAACAATAATTATTTGGATTTTAGATTTCTCCTTTTAAACAATTAAAACAACAAATTTTTCTTTACGATTCTAACACAAATTGAACAACATACTAGCATTCTGTCATAATTCAGAACATGATTT